>NC_000009.12:34706969-34858484 GCF_000001405.40 Homo sapiens
ACAAAGCAAGCCTTAAAAAAAAAAAAAAGTAAACTTGTAAACTTGGGGAAGAGGTTATGCCCTGGAGGGGCTGAGGAGAGGGAGACAATTGTTTAGGACTGCGAAGGGATTAGTGTGTACATCCAGCCAGAGTGGGCACTGGGCTCTAATTTCTGTCTGTGATGGGGCAAGTGACAGGACTGTTGAGTAGATGGCTTCGGGGGTATCTGGGGAGGTCAAGTCCAAGCCCAGAGGCTGTCATATCTGAATTCTTATGTCTCAAATGTGGAGTCTAGGACTTGAAGAGATATACCTGCTGGAACCACAGGGGTCAGAACACTCACTGGCGAGACTGATGTCCAATGATAGGATGGTGTAGGAGGCAGGTAGGAGGCCTCCCTTGGGCCTTGAGGTTTCTGTGACCTTTGCATAACCCTTGGCAGGTGGGATCCCACAAGAGTGCCTGATGTTGAATTTCTCATCAGCACTCTAGTGCAGTAGCTTGGAGTAGGAATTAAGTTCATTTAAGGAACATTTCAAAAGTAGTATTTCTTGCATATCTGAGTTTATAGATTAATTTCACACCTGCTGCCCTAGGACAGGCAGGGGAGAGGCCCTGTCTTCACCTGCTGCAAGAGGAGCAGACAAGCCAATACTTGAGGATGTTAGGATAGGTGGTAAGTGCTGTGGCATACTCAGGCTCCTACAGAAGGAAAAGTTGATGGAGCAGCCACTTCTAGCTTCTGAGGTTCCTACCTTTCTTCTTCTTCTTCTCCTCCTTTTTTTTTCTTTTCCTGAAATGGAGTCTTGCTCTTGTCGCCCAGACTGGAGTGCAATGGCACAATCGATCTCACCTCACTGCAACCTCCGCCTCCTGGGTTCAAGTGATTCTCCTTCCTCAGCCTCCCGAGTAGCTGGGATTACAGGCGCCCGCCACAATGCCCGGCTAATTTTTGTATTTTTAGTAGAGACGGGGTTTCACCATGTTGGCCAGGCTGGTCAGGAACTCCTGACCTCATGATCCGCCTGCCTTGGCCTCCCAAAGTGCTGGGATTACAGGCCTGAGCCACCGCGCCCGGCCTTGAGGTTCCTACCTTTCTTGCCCTTCCCCAGGATCTGTTCCCTTCTTTCTCACATTGTCTGGCCCAATCTGATGGCTTCTACTCTCCCCGCCTGGAGGTGATTTGGGGAATAGAAGGGTCTTCACTCTGGGGAGGAAGAGGTAGAGGAGAGCCATCTGAGGCCTTCCAGGAGAGGAGACTGATTCACACCTGAATCCTGGGGTTCTGAAAACCTGCCCCAGGAGACTTATTCCTTGACTTCAAAGGGTTAAATGGGCTAAAGTAGTCTGGATCCCAGCCAGGAAAGAAAGGAGGAAAAAAAAAGGGAGGAGGTTTTTCCATCTGGAAGGAGGCTGAGTGAGTCCAGGGGCCCAGATAGGAATAGAAGGAGAGCACAACAGCCCCATTAAACAAAGAGGAGAGGTCAAGGCCCGAGCTTCACTGAATAGGGCTGAAGCAAGTCCCCTCGGGTCTTTGCCTCCCAGGGGCTCTCTCAGGGCTGGAACTGTGCTAGGGCAGGTTTCAATATAACTTGTGTTTGTCTGTGTTATAGATGGGCCCAAGCCACAGCTTCCCTCCTAGGGACCCTTCCAAAGAACCACTTGGAGGGTCTCATTGAATAGTTCCCAGGGAAAAGAGAGGAAGCCTCTGGGATATCTGGGGAAAGGTCTGAAGGTCATGGAAAAGATCCGAAGGTCACCCCTGGAGTTAGTGCAGGACAGAATCAGGGTCTCAGAGGTCTGCAGAGCTGTTGGGGGTGTGTGCTCCATGTCCACCACCTCTCCATTGGCAGGATGCCTCAGAAGACTGGGTCCTACCCTGTCCTTCAGCCTCCCTTTAACTGCTCAGGGGTGCAGGCACCTGAGAGGCAAGGAAACTCTTGGGGTAGATGAGAACATAGCATTTTTCAGCCTGAGCTTTCGGCTCAGAGTGTGTGACCCCACCCTGTAGGAACCTTGGCATCTCGGTGGACATAAACACATGGGAACAGGTACTTGGGTGGGAAGACAGAACAGCTTTTTATTCAGTTAGGTATAAATCATATTTACAAGGAAGAGGTGGGGTGTACTGGGGAGCCGTATCAGGTCCAGGGTCCTGATGATTCTCCTTCAAGGGGACAGTCCTGCTGCCTCCTCTCATGCTCCCTGGGAGACTCTCCCTCCTCGGTCTCTCTGGACCTGGCCTGCTGTGGGCAGCTCAGCCATGCAGGGTAGAGCTGGGAATGCAGATGGGGTGGTTAAAGCAGGAGAAAGAGTGTGGCAAGGCCAGCATGGGGTGGCTGCTCCAGGGCCCCTGAGCATAGCCTCCTTCTTGCATCTTGGGTTCAGGCTTCAAGCGCTGGTGAGGCTGGTGGGGTCTCCAGGGCTCCAGGCTGCTCACTGGGCTATGGCCCTTTAGGGGTCTGTGACCGCTCAGTCCTGTGAGGGCAGAAGAGGGGTGTGAGGGGCTGACTGAGGCTCCCCTTTACCCACATCCCTCAGATTCCTCACCTCTTGCAGCCTTTGGAGCCCTTTCCTTTCTTGCCAGTCTTGGAGGCCCCCCTGTCCTTCCTGCAGCCCTGGGCTGGTTTCTGTGGGGATGGTGTCTTGTCCAGATGCTGCATCAGCTGCTGCACCCAGAGCTCCTTTGGGTCTGCACATAGCTCTGCCTGAGAGCGCTTGCGGGGCAAGAACCTGCGGGTGGGGGCTAGTAAGCCTTCTTAGTCTTGCCCACCATGCCCTCCCCACCCCGTCACCAGCCAGTACCCACCCCTTTGTGTCCACTCACAGGATAGCTGGGATGGAGCAGCCTAAGCTTGGTTCCTGCTTCCGGTAGCTGCGGACAACCTTGGCGGGAATCTTCCTTTGGCTGTACTTGAGGCAACAGTCCTGAGCCCCTCCATCACTGCCTGCAGGGTGGGATTCACAGGGAGCCAGGGGCTGCTGGCAAGCTCCTATCCAGGCCTCTTGATCCCCTTAGCCCCATGCAAGGCCCCTCCCTGCCTTGGTACCTTGGGTCCTGGGGATGCCAAAGGCCAGAACCAGGATAAGGAGGCTCAGAGCCAGTGACTGAGCCATGTCTGTGGTAGAGGGTGAGTAAGAGGCCAGAGCTGAGGGTGAGGTGGGCAGCTGCAAGTTGGGGGTCTGTGCGTGGGCTGGGATTGGCCTGCTATTTATGTAGCTAGACACTTTCACTTCCCTTAACTTATCCCCACTCCTTTTCCTTCCTGAAAGCTGGATTTGCTGGCACCCAGCCCCACTTATCTCAAACTAAGTGGACAGTCCTCAGCTGCCAAATTTTATGTCCTCATTAGTTGAATATGTCTGGGCCTGAGCCTTCCTTCTATTCCCAGCTACTGCTTTCATGCAGGCCTCACTGCCTCTCCCCTGGAACACCATGACTGTCTCCTCACTACGCTCCAGGATCCATACCCTTCCCCTCCTTCCAGCAAATCTGATTATTAAATTGTAAGAGTTCTTTTTTTTTTTTTTTTTTTTGAGACAGGGTCTAACTCTGTCACCCAGGCTGGAGTGCAGTGGTTGATCTTGGCTCACTGAAATCTCCGCCTCCTGGGCTCGAGTGATCCTCCTACCTCAACCTCCCCAGGAGCTGGGACTACAGGCAAGCACCACTGCGCCTGGCTGATTTTTCTATTTTTTTTTTGTAGAGACGAGGTTTCACGATGTCTAGCCCAGGCTAGTCTTGAGCTCCTGGGCTCAAATGATCTGCCTGCCTCAGCCTCTTGAGGAGCTGGGACCACAGGCACATGCCACTACGTCCGGCTACTGTTTTCATTTTTCATTTTTATTTTTTCTAGAGATGAGGTCTTGCTATGTTGCCCAGTCTGGTCTTGAACTCCTGGGCTCAAGCGATCCTCCTGCCTTGGCCACCCAAAGTGCTGGAATTATAGGTATGAGCGACTGCACCTGGTCTGTAGCATAACCATTTTGATTCCCCTTTGCTTTCCTTTTCTATATATTTTGTAGTTATTTTCCTAATGGATACCTTGGTGATTATAATTAACATTCTAAACTGATAACAACCTAGTTTGAATAATACCAACTTAGTTTCAATGGTATATAAACATTTTGCTCGTATACATTTTAGTCCCTTCTTTATATTGTTATTGTCACAGATTACATCTTTATACATTGTGTTCCCATTGACATAGATTTATAATTATTGTTTAATGCATTTTCCTTTTAAATTATATAGAAAAAAGTGGGGCTACAAACTAAAAATACAATACTAGCTTTTATCTTTTTTTTTTTTTTTGACACAGGGTCTCGCTTTGTCACCCAGGCTGGAGTGCGGTGGCACAATCTCAGCTCACAGCAGCCTCGACCTCCTGGGCTCAAGTGATCCTTCCACCTCAGTCTCCTGAGTAGTGGGGCCACCATGCCTGGCTAATTTTTGTATTTTTTGTAGACACGAGGTCTCACTATGTTGCCCAGGCTAGTCTCGAACGCCTGACCTCAAGCAATTCACCCGCCTTGGCCTCCCAAAGTAATGGGATTACAAGTGTGAACCAGCATACCTGGCAATGTTGTTACTTTTTTTTTTTTTTTTTTGAGACAGAGTCTCACTCTTTCGCCCAGGCTGGAGTGCAGTGGCGTGATCTTGGCTCACTGCAACCTCCACCCTCCGGGTTCAAGCCATTCTCCTGCCTCAGCCTCCCGAGTAACTGGGATTATGGGCACCTGTCACCACATCCAGCTAATTTTTCTATTTTTTGTAGAGATGGGGTTTCACCATGTTGGCCTGGTTGGTCTCAAACTCCTGACCTCAAATGATCCGCTCACCTTGGCCTCCCAAAGTGCTGGGATTACAGACATGAGCCACTGCGCCCAGCCTGCTATGTTGTTATGTTTATCAGAGATCTTTGTTTCTTTGTGTGGCTGTGAGTTATTATTTTTTGTCCTTTTGTTTCATTCTGAAGGTCTTCCTTTAGCATTTGTTTGTTTGTTTGTTTGTTTTTTCTTTCTCCCGTTAGCTTTTCTTGTGGGCAGGTCTACTATTAATGAACTTCCTAAGTTTTGTTTATCTGGAAATGTCTTATTTCTCCTTAATTCTTGCAGCATAGTTTTGCTGGATATATAGAATTCTTGTTTGACTTTTTTTTTTCTTCAGTCTTTAAATATATCCCCCATTGTCTTTTGGCCTCCCATGGTTTCTGAAATCAGCTGGTAATCTTATTGAGAATCTCTTGTACATAATGAGTTACTTCTCTCTTGCTGCTTTTAAAATCTTTGGGTTTCAACAATTTGACTATAATTTGTCTTGGTGTGGATCTCTGAGTTTATCCTTCTTAGAGTTTGTGAACTTCTTGGGTATGTATATTCATGCTTTTCATCAGATTTCAGATGTTTTGTCATTATTTCTTCAATTTTTTTAATGCCCTGTTCCCTCTCTTCTCCTCCTGAGACTCCTGTGATGAGGTACATTTGATGGTATCCCTGAGGCTCGTTTATTTTTCTTCTCATACTTGATAATTTTAATTGTCTTATCATCAAGAATACTGATCCTTTTTTTTCTGCTTAAATTAGTTGTTGATTGCCCCTAGTGAATTGTACATTTCAGTTATTGTATTTTTGCTTCCAGAATTTCTGCTTGAGTCCTTTTTTTCTTTTTACTAATTTCCATCTCTTTATTGATAGTTTCATTTTGTTCATACACCATTTTTCAGATTTCCCTTAACTCTTTGCCCATGGTTTCCTTCAGCTCTTTGAGCATATTTAAGACAGTTATTTTTTTTTTCCAAAAGGGCCATTGTTTCCCAATTTAATTTGAGGTCATAATAAAACAAGCAACAAAGCAGTATTTGAGATTTCAGCTTCTCACCCTTATCATCAAACCTCCCATCATCAATATTTATTGAGCATTTACAGTAAGACAGTTAAAGTCTTCATCTACTATGTCCAATATCTGGGCTTCCTCAGGGATAGTCTCTGTCAAATTCCTTTCTTCCTGTGAATGGGCCATACTTTCCTATTTCTTTGTATTAGTAATTTTTTGTTGATAACTGGGCATTCTGAATATTACAGTGTGGTATCTCTAGAAATTCAATTTTTTCACTCCTTAGGGATTGCTGATATACACTTGTTGAGAACTCTGCCATCAATTTGTGGTGACTTTTTCAAACGGTTTTTTGCAAAGTGTGTATTCTTTGTTTTGTGGGGTTACTGAAATTTCTGTTTATGACCTGACAAAGGGTTCTCTTCCTTCCCCGCAAAAAGATTCTGTCCCTTTAAATCTTCTGATATATGTGGCTCAGGAAGATCCTGAAGCCCAAGAGGGCTGAAACAAAGCAAGCCTGTCCCTTAGGGAACCAGAAGACAAACCCAAATGCAAAACCCCTCATTTTTGGAGGACAGGGTTCCCCCTGCCCACTCAGTGACCACCCAGCTACTTCAGGAATGTGGGCTGCTATCCCCACTGTGTTGGTTGGTAGCTAGTGCATGCATTATGCTCTCTTCTGAAAGACCAGCAACCTCTCCCTTCATCAAGTACCACCCCCCCTGCTTGTTATAAGTGTCCAATCGGGCTCCAGACTTCTGAAAGAGTCGATTCCAATTGCTCTTTCCACCTCAATAGTTGCTTTGGTGGAGGGACCAACCCCTATAACTTCTTACTCTGCCATTTTGTATGATGTTTTTCTGTAGTTTAATTTTTAACATTTTAAAATCTTTTATCCATTTGGAGTTTATTATGGTATATGATGTGTGAGGGTTATTGGGTCATAACTTAGAATCTATATTTAATACTGGATTGGGACCTTAGAGTTGTAATCCTCACGTCAGAGCTGGAGAATCCATCTGGTTTCCAGAGTGCTAAACTCAGCAGCAAGCTCCTTACATCTTGTTTTTTGAAGGATGGCTTATGACAGGATAGGGAAACCATAGGAAGAGGAGGAAATGAGTGTCAGGAGAGATGTAGTCAGGACAGCCATGGCCAGAGACAGAAATATTGGGTTGCTCTTGGGGAAGGATGGGATGCAGAAGGCATGGGGTTGAAGATGGAGGTACTGTTGGGAGGGGGATAAAGAGGTGGTGTTTCATTCTAAGGTCCACAGAGTAGAGGGGCTGGAATTTGGTGGCCTAGAGGAGAAATAATTGAGCTCTTGAGTCTGAGGTTTTCAGACTCAAGAGACCTTAAGGCTGAGACCTTAAGCAGGGCAGGGAGTGACTCTGTTGGCAAGAAGCTGGTGTTCCTGGAACAAGACTAGGCAAAAACAAGGAGATAAGATTTCTTGGATCTTTTACCTGGTCTAGAGGCAGATCCTGGAACCAGAAAGTTTTAAATTCCCAGCTCCCTGGTTTCCCCACCTGCCTAATGGGAGTGACTAAGAAAGTAGTGAGCAGCCTGTCTCTGAGGAATTCTCAGACAGATAGAATAGCATGGGCTTGGGAGGGGGCATGCAGATAATTCCGAAGTCATATTATATTAGTTTGCTTCCAAACTTGGCTGCACTTCAGAATCACCTGGGTGACTTTTTAAAAACAGAATTAGAAGCAACACGCCAGACCGCCTTAAATAGAATCTCAGAATAGAGCCAACAAATGTGTATTTTTACCAAGTTCTGCAGGTAATTCTAAGCATTTGGTGGGGTGGGGCTGGGAGAGCCACTTGGGCCTATTCTGCTCCCCATCCCACACTCTAGATTGACACAGAGCCGGTGAAAGGGAACAAAGTTGGTCTGGGGAAAGGAAAGCTGGAGTGATGCCCCCTCTACCTCCCCTGGAGGAGGAGACTTTCTCGCCTGGCACAGATTGTAGAAAAAAAGGAGAGATGGCAGGGAAGAGGAGGGGGCTGTACCTTTTTCTTTCCTAAAAGCTTAGGCTTGCTTTCTCTCCAAGATACCTGCCTGTCTCCCTTACCCTTATTCATGCCATGAAAGAAGCTTCTTGTTGTGTCAGATGGTGTGCACAACCCCCTAGGTCCCATCTCTGCCTGGTCTTCCTAGATGCAGGAATCTAGGTTGATTAGGCATCAACCCTAAGCCCCTGCCTGTGAACTTGAGCCTGCAGTGGTAGAGCAGTCTCAGGGAGATGTTACATCCTGGAGATATTGAGGTCTGTCTGCTTGGTGCTGGAGCTTAGAATCAAGGTTAGGAGCCCTAAGGGAAATGAAGGAAGCAGTAGGGGCTTTTCTGGAGGTGGAAACCTGGCTGGACAAAATCCAGCGCAGAAAACAGCTGCCCTGAGAGTGAGGATGGGATAGCGAGTCCCTACCCCGTCTCCAGTCTGTGAGTGGACCTGGTGGCAGGGGTGGTGAGAGGGAGGCACTGAAGCAGGGTAGAAGAGAGTGAGGAGCTCGGATGATGAGAGAGCCATTACCCTTTTCTGGGACCCCAAGTCTTCTGAGCCATTCCTCTGCCCTCAGCTGCTGGCCTGGGTTTATTGTACCCCACAGCCCCACTTGAACTGTAAGCTGGGTTTGGGGATTTGGAGCCTGCAGCTTTGACCCAAGCTCCTCTCAGTCCTCAGACCAGGCTGGATGCAGAGCTTGGGGAAGGGGACACAAAGACTCAGATGGCTGCACATCCGAGATGTGGGTCTCCACCTACAGTTCCAGTCCTCTGGGTGAAGATGTTGGCTTGGTGAGCTCCTGAGAGAAACTGGCTACTTTGTGACAACCTCTGGGATGGCCTAGGTGCAGAGGAGTGCTTCACTGGTACCTGGGGTGAAGGATAAAGGAGGTACACATGGCTGATTTCAGCCCTACCCGTGATGATGAATTCACCAGACTGAGATCCTGGGAGGGGGAGAGGAAGTGTGCTTATTCACACCTACCTCAGCAGGCCCACTACCTCTCTAGGACAGGCACCTGGAGTAGACATCCTAGGTGTGGGTGTTGCAAGAGTCTGGAAATCCCCTAATTGGAAAGGGCCACATTCCCTTCAGTCTCAGGCCCGTTTGCTCTTGCCTGGTGGGGTTTCCAGGGCAGCAGATGCTCCCAGCTTGGCAGGCAAGAGCCAGGGAGGGGTATGGCGGGAATTTCAGCTCAAGGGCTAGGCAAGTCCTGGAATAGGATTGGGGTGGGCTGGGGCCCATGGGCCTGTATATCCAACAAAGGTCAAAGGGCCTGGGTGCGTTGCTGCTCCTGGGTTCTCAGCGGAGCATTGAGCCCTCTAGAAATAAGATGCCCTGTGGACTGTGCAGCCGTTACTGAAGGAGCTACTCAGTTTCTCGGAGTCATAAGTGTGCAAAATGTGTGTGTCTAGTGTAGTTGCATGCATTCATCAATGTGTAGCTCTACCAAGGGTTAGGGTTAGAGTTAGGATTATGCTTAGAACAGCATTGATGTTGTGGTTCCAAATTGGATAGGGCTGGAATCATGGTGATGTTAAAGTAGGATTTGGAATTGGGTTTGCGGTTCCTGTTGATAGAAACAGGCGTATCTTAGATGAGGATTGTGTTAGGGTTGGAGTAGGGCACTGCTTGCATTTAGGATTTGGATTAAGAGTGAGGAGATCTTAACCTAAATCCTAAATGATCTTAATCCAAGGAGATAAATTTTGTGTTGGAGGTTGCTTTTAAGTTTTCTCTCTCTCCTTTTTTGTTTGTTTTGTTTTGCTTTGTTTTGTTTTGTTTTGTTTTGTTTTGTTTTGTTTTGTTGAGACAGGGTCTCACTCTTGTCACCCAGGCTGGAGTGCAGTGGTGCAATCTCAGTTCACAGCAACCTCAGCTTCCCAGACTCAAGCTATTCTCCAGCCTCAGCCTCCTGAGTAGCTGGGACTACTGATGTGACCCACCATGCCCAGCTGTTTTATTTTATTTTACTTTTGTACATTTTTTTTGTAGAAAGGGGGTTTCACCATATTGCCCAGGCTGGTCTCCAACTCTTGAGCTCAAAGCGATCTGCCCACCTCAGCCTTCCAAAGTACTGGGATTACAGGTGTGAGTCACTGCACCCGGCCTGGTTTTAAGCTTTCAAGCTAGTCTGGAGAGGGACTTACGCTTCTGCATAACGTGTGGTATTGATCTGATGTAGATGACAAGTTGTTGGCTGTTTTCCAGGACCTCCACAGGTGAGGGGCACAGAGTGGCCCCTGCAGCTATGATCCAGCTAGAGGAGGGAGGCATTCAGCTCCTGGGGAGAGGGCAGATCAGTTTTCTATCTCAAACTTATTTGGCCATGTAAACATTTTTGGATCACACCCACCAGCATTATCTGTCTGGGTACAGTTGTTCCCAGAGTCTTATTTGAAAAACTATGATTTAGAGTTTTCTTTGGGAATGGGGTTGGAGTTGGGTTTAGAGGTGTGGTCAATAAGGTTGGGATTGTGGGTTAACATGAAGTTTAGGCTAGAGCTACATATGAGATCATGTCTTGTGTAAGGGTTTTCTAACTGGGGAACCAGGACCTGGTTCTTCATGGTTTCCCGAGGATAACGTGGACTAAGTGTGTCTACCTGGTTTGTTCTTCCCTTGTGTCTGCTATGTCAAAGAGTCTGAGAGTCAGGACCCTTCAAGGATGGAGCCAGCAGTAAATTGGGGGCCCTCAGGGAGATGGGTGTGTAGGTGAAGGATGAGGCTGCTGAAGAGGGCAGTGGACTCTCTTCCTGACCCTGACATTCTTTAAGAGCACACAGCCACATTGTTGAGACCAGGGGTATGCACGTGAAACCAAAGCTATCCTATTAAAGGACAAGCAATAGGACAGAAACGACAAACCAGGATTTAAAGGAGAGATGAACCTGGTCTGAGGTGGCCTAGAGGATTTATGGAGGAGAGGGTCTTTGCAGGATGGATTTGGACTGCATTTGTATCTGTGGGTCTGTTAGATGGGTTCTGTGTGCAAACCTGTCTTTGTGTCTGCATGTGTGTTTGTGCCCGTGTCTGCTCAGGCATGTCTGATGCAGGGTGTTCATGGGTCCATGTGAGTTTGTCTTCCTTGACGTGTTTGTCCTTACTCTGAACTAGTTTCTGAGTGGCACGGTTGACTTTTGTCTTTTTCTGTATGTACCTGTGTGGTGGGATGTCTGTGTCCATGTGTCTTTGACTGTGTGTATTTGATTCTTCCCTGGCCCCTTACTGTATCTTCCACCTCCCCTGACATACCCCAGCTGCTGGTACTATTTACCGCAAGGAGGGCTTCCCTTCCCGCCGTCTGGATTCCCATGGGTCAGTCTGCCTGCCCAGGGACCTGCCCCTGTGGCCTTTGTAGCAGGCCTGACCTTGGAAGTGACACATTCTGGAAATCCCCTAATATGCTACTTGCCTAGCCACTAGCTGAGTGTTTATAGTGGAGGAGAGGGACAAGGCAGAAAAGGGGGGCAGTTGGCAGCACTCACCCCTCCTTCTGGAAACTGAATCTCACTGGCCCCTTCCCAGGCCCCCCTCTCCCTCCCCATGCTCTCTCAGGGTCCTGGCCTCACTGTTTCTGGGCCTGAGAATGCACAGACCTCTGCAAGACTGGTCAGCCCTGTGAGGCATCTGGTCCTTTGTGTCCCCAAGCACTTTACATGCCTGCTTTGTGCTTACCTCTCATATTCCCACCTGAGCTCAAGGAAGTCCTTTCTTCTCTTCTGTCCCTGCAGAGGACACAGGGGCTATTCTGGCCCTTCCATCTATGGTAGGCCTGGCCTAGACCATGGGCTCCAGAGGCCAGGTAGAGTATTCAGCCCTGGTTAGCTGGTTAAGCAGCAGAGGCCCAGCCACCTCCCACATGGTGCAGGAAGCAGTGTCTCCATGGAGTCTATTCCTGTGTTCATCCTGTGTGCCTTGCCTTCCCTGCCTGGGCTGCAGTGAGCAGGTACAGAAGTGAAGCAGCCATGGTCCCTGCCCTCAACAACTCAGTGTTGAACACAAGTTATGTTGTGGAGAAGCCACCCTCCTCCCACTGCTGGTGGTCGGTTTCCTGAAATTCCCTCCAGCCAATTCTGAAGTGCCCTTCTGGAAAGCCCAAGAGAAGAGCTCTAGAAGGTCGGGGCCATTCACCATGACATGATGTTACCTGAGTGTGCCAGAGGTGAACCCAAAGATCCCAAGCAAGCACTGATGTATTCCTAGCATCTACCCCCAAACCTGAAGTAGTAAATTTTCTTTTTTCTTTTTTGAGATGGAGTCTGCCTCTGTCACCCAGGCTGGAGTGCAGTGGCACGATCTTGATCTTGGGTCACTGCAACTTCTGCCTCCTGGATTCAAGTGATTTTCCTCCTTCAGCCTCCTGAGAAGCTGGGATTACAGGTGCACACTACCATGCCCGGCTAATTTTTGTAGTTTTAATAGAGACAGGGGTTTCACTACGTTGGCCAGATTGGTCTTGAACTTCTGACCTCAAGTGATCCACCCGCCTCGGCCTTCCAAAGTGTTGGGATTATAGGCGGGAGCCACAGCGCCTGGCCTGAAGTAGTAATTTCTTGAGTTTGTACTCTACATGTGAATTTTGCTTCTTGCCTCTCTTCACCCTGGGGAAGATAGAAGGTGGGGTTGTGCTGGGGTTATGGGATGGGATGAGCAAAGCTTCATCTGCCATCAGCATCCTGCATGAATCATAGGCTCTGACCCTGACTTTGCTTAGCTCTCAACTTTGCTGAGAACTCAGAATCCTGAAGGTATCAGTTCCAGCTCATCTTTGCCCCCAGTTCTGTCATGGGACTTTAGTTAGCAGCATGAGCCCATGCTGGCCTCAGGCAGGTGGGAGCCTGTAGGGAACCATGGGAGGGACCTGCTCCACCCTAAACCAGGATGTATGCACGCTAACCCCTGGCTTCCTACCTGATGCTGCTGTGACCCTCCTGAGTCAATTCCCTTCATTCTGGGCCTCCCTCTGTTCTAGCTGTGTGGCTGCCTGCCCCACTCCCACCAGGCAGGGAGGATGTGCCTGTCACAATACCTCCTTTGATCTTTGGGAATGCTTTAGGAAAACATCTGTTGAATGTTGGTTCAGCAGGTTTGGGCCTTGTGCCTCTCTGCCCTGGGGACCATGTATGGGCTGGGCCCCCATCCCTTAGGCACAGAATCAGCATTCAGAGCAGGGACATATCCATGTTTCTTCCCATCCTGCCTCTTCTGTATCCAAGCAGTGGACACATTGTGCTAAATGCTGGGGTCCCATCAGAGGAAGCAAGTCCTGCCACCTCCTCCTCCTAGTGATGAGATGGTGAGTGATCCTGGGTTTCCGTAGGAACCAGGGGCATCCCACTGTCCCTCAAAACATGTCATAAAGGGCCAGGCGCGGTGGCTCACGCCTGTAATCCCAGCGCTTTGGGAGGCCGAGGCGGGTGGATCATGAGGTCAGGAGATCGAGACCATCCTGGCTAACAAGGTGAAACCCCGTCTCTACTAAAAAATACAAAAAATTAGCTGGGTGCGGTGGCGGGCGCCTGTAGTCCCAGCTACTCGGGAGGCTGAGGCAGGAGAATGGCGTGAACCCGGGAAGCGGAGCTTGCAGTGAGCCGAGATTGCGCCACTGCAGCCCGCAGTCCGGCCTGGGCGACAGAGCGAGACTCCGTCTCAAAAAAAAAACAAAACAAAACAAAAAACATGTCATAAAGAAGTCACAGCACTTCCTGCCCTTTTTCCAGCTCTTGGCTCCTCTGTGGTAGGTCAGAAGGGGAATGCAGAGGTGCCACCTCCTGAGGGATAATAGCTGTCCAAAATCGATGTCCCTTCCATCTTCTCAGGGCAGCTTCTTTGTCTTCCTGCTTCCCAATCCTCTCATCCCACCCATATAACCTCCCTGGTCCCTCACCTCACTGAGCACTAGGATGCCATCTCTGCCCTGTTTCTCCATCTCCAGCCTCATGCTCTTGCGCAGTCTCCATGCATTTAGAGCTTTCTCTGTGAGCTCTCCTGCTGGTACAGTGTTCCAAGAGCACCTGCTGCACAGATATCAGCAGCAGCTTTGATCACCTTTTCACCCACCTATGTACTCACAACCAACTGCTTGGGACCTAACAGAAACTTTCCATGGTAACTTCCAGAATCTTTCTCCACCTCCAGCTTTCCCGCTTTGGTTCTCCATACGGTTCCCCCTTCCCACAGACACGGTCCCTTCCCAGGTCCTCACTCATCCCTCTGGGTCTTTGCCCACACTCCCTTATATGTGGAAGAATCCTTTCTTCTAATCCATGAAGTCCTCCCTCATTAACTCTACCTTCTCTCTACCACCAGTGAAGTTCTGTATTTTTAGCCAAAGCCAGACTGTCAACTTGGGGACTTGCTCCCATTCCTTCACTTCTGAACCACAACATTGTTCCAGCAGTTCTCCCCTTGAGCTCCTGCATCATTAATTTATCCATCTCCACTGGATGTTTTCCATTAACATCCACCATGCTATGTCTCCAGTCTTTTTTGAAAAGCCATTTTGGGTTCTAATGCCTCACATTTCTGTATCTTTATTTGAACAGACCTCTTTGAGGAGTTTATGTTACCCTTTCTAACACTAATTGCTGTCTTTCCATTCTCTCTCTCTCTCTCTCTCTCTCTCTCTCTCTCGATGGAGTTTTGCTCTTGTCGCCCAGGCTGGAATGCAATGGCACAGTCTGGGCTCACTGCAACCTCCACCTCCTGGGTTCAAGTGATTCTCCTCAGCCTCCTGAGTAGCTGGGATTACAGGTGCGCACCACCACGCCCAGATAATTTTTGTATTTTTACTAGAGACAGAGTTTCACCATGTTGGCCAGGCTGGTCTCGAACTCTTGACCTCAGGTGATCCACCTGCCTCGGCCTCCCAAAGTGCCAGGATTACAGGTGTGAGCCACTGTGCCCAGCCGTCCACTCTCTCTGGAATCCACTCCAGTCACACCTTCATCTCCATCATTCACCTGAGGCTGCTCCTGTTAAGGTCATCAATGATCTCTGTGTGGCTAAATCTAACACGCCTCATCTTAATTGGCTGACTGGCAACTTTTCATGCAGTTGATCTCTCCTTGAAAAACATTTTTGTTTGGCTTCTAGTATTCCACACTCATCTTGTTTTCCTTCCATCTCACTGGCCACTGCTTGTCAGTTTCCTCTGTTTACTAGTCCCTCCTTTACTTTCCAGTTTCTTAACATAGAAGAGTCTCAGGGCCTACTCCTTAGATGTCTCCATTTACACTTAGTTGTTTGGTGTGTTATCCAGTTGCATGGTTTTTTCTTTCTCACTCTCTCTGTATTATCTGAAGCCAGGACCCTCCCTGAGGACCATCAGGCTTCTGTGTTGAGGATAAACTGTTGGTTGAATAGTCTCAGGATGAAATGGGGAGATTAGTTATGATGCTACTGGAGTGATGGTAGCAGTAGAGAGGGTGAGAAGTGGGCATTTTCTCGATGCATGCTTGAAGGTAGAGAGAACAGGATTTACTGTGGGTTAGGAAAAAAATCAAGGATAACACCATTGTTTTTGTCCTAAATAACTGGAAAGATGGAGCTGCCATTCACTGAAGTGAGAAATATCATGAATACAGTGGGTTTGGTATGTGTGACTGAGTGGTGGTGAAGGGTAGAAAACCAGTTCGTTTATTTTTGTATGGTTTGAGATGAATATTGGACTTCTAAGTTTATAATTTGACTGGACAATTTGGGAGTAATAGACTGTCGACCCCATGGGATCATGAGCTCCACTGGGTCAAGGCCTGTGTCATGTTCATTGATGTGTTTTGCATAGTTCTTGGCACGTAATAAACACTCAGATATTTAATTGTTGAAAACAAGATGCTTCTCAAAGTAATTTTTATTATGGGTTCCTCCTCACCAGCTGATTGCTTCCTCCTGTGGCACTACCACACACCTCATAGCCCCATTAAAATGATCAATGCTTTGTCTGTCTCCACAGCCCTGACTTTGGATTCAACTAATGTAAGGTCTTACTATGCATTAGCCACTCTCCTAGGCCCTGGAGTTATGGGACAGTGGAAAATATTCTGGTGGGATGGATGGTAAATGTTCAGAAATCAAGCATGACCTTTAACTTCAGTGCACTCTAGATAAAAGCTTTTCTTCTTTGATGTGGAATGGTGACCCATCTGAAAGGTAAGTTAAAGCTCCTTCCCTAGACAGGAAGGACTTTTTAGCCTCCCTCACACCTTCCCTTAACACAATACAGCAGAGACAAGGAGCAGACAGACAATGTATTGCTGAGAAATATAGAGTGTATTTCTAGTGGCATCTGTCCCACCTGCACATTTATGGAAATGACAATACTGGTCCTCTGGAGGGCTGCAGCAGTTGGGGAGCCTATAAACTCTTTTTCATGGCTCTGCATGTTCTCCTTGAGCGGACCAATGTTTCTATCTGAGGTGAGGGTCAGGAGCTAGGTTGGGTGCCCTGGTTTGTTGGCACAAGCCTCTCGAGGACAGTGACGAGGGCAGTGGCGGGGGTAGCCCAGGGCTGAGGCAGAGCCAGGTTGTCTGGAGTGTAGCCGGAGCTTATCGTCTAGGGATTGGGGACCATCCAAGAAGGCTGGGCCCACCAGCTTCTGAGCAGGACGAGATTGGGCCTTGGAGCACCCTGTCGGCTTCTCCGTCTTACTTCTCCCCACAGGGCTCTTGGCTGGAGCCAGGCTCTTTGCAACATTTTCTTTTCTGGTTTTGGCCACCTTCGCAGCGGCTGAGAACATGGAGTCCTCATGCCCTTTGCCTTTTGTCTTGGGGTTAATATGCTGCAGAAAACATTTAATTTTATTTCTGAAGCTAGACTCTGTAAGGCTGGGCTTCTTTTGAGCATGGACTGGCATCACCAGCCCATGCAAAACTTGGCCTTGCAAAGTTTGGCCCTGCAAAGGCTTAGCCTGAGTTGGTTGGCTCAGGAAAGGCTGACCCTGTGAAGCCTGGGGCAACACAGTCTGGGCATTCTCAGGAATTGTCGCTGGTTCAAGGATGACAGTTAGCTTGGTTTGACTGTCTTGCAGGTCCTTCTCAGACTCTTTCTCCCCAGGGACTCGTGGAGGTAGCTGTGGGAGCTTAAGCTGAGGGTGATGCTGGGGGCTGTGTTGACAGGGATCAGCAAGATGAAAGCTACGGCTCCATCGCCAGGACCCTCGGGGTGTCTTGTTTGGAAGCATCCCTGCTGGCCTCTGGTCTTCAGCAGGGCGTCTCTCTTCTCTGGTTGAGGAGCGCCCAAACCCCGCATCCCCTTCTCTGTGGTCCCTGGCTGCTTTGGTTTCCTCTGGGTCCTCTCTGTTTCCTGCTAGCATGGGGACATGGGCTGGGTCCTTGCTCTTGCTAGGGCTTTGAGGCTCAGGGCCACAGGGTTCCTCCAGGCTGGGTTTGTTCACATTGGCCTCTACCTGAACACAAGGCATGTGGGCCTCTGTCATGTCCCCACTGGGCTGTGAGATCTTGGAGACCGAGTGGGCAGAACCCTGGGGTACAGCTTTGGAATTGGATTGCTTTTGGTTCTGCTGCACTGCCTTCAAGTCATTGGCCAGCTGTTCTTTAAGGTGAACCCCTTCTGGATTAGGGGCAGGAAGAGTGTCTGGTGGGATGGGCAGTTCCTGGAGCAATGTCTCCCCTTGGTGGTTTAGACTTTCAAGAGACTTCTGTGTGGATATGTTCTCTGGTGCTGCAACAGTTTGTTCCCTGGACTTCCTTGCCCTAATGGGAATTCCCCATTGTATCTCTAGGACCTTTTTTCTCAGGTGGAAGTTTAGTTTGGTCAAGATATGTGTCTGGAGTGAGTGGGGGCTAGTAGGATGCGTCTGGCTTTCTAGAGGCAGCGTCTCCATTGTTCCTTTTACTGGCACTGCAGGCTGGAACTCTTTTGCAACGTCTGTACAACTCTCATTGTTGCCTTGAGGGCATGGCCCAAGACTTATACACTGTTCTTCAAATGAAACCATCTGAATCAGAGGCTCTGCTGGGATTTCCACGGGACTAGGCTCCATCTCTGTGATGACAGATTGGCTAGTGACTGCCGGGGCCAGGGCCCTGGGGAGCGCCACATAATACAGAGCAGGCAGCCCCGACAGGAAGGCCAGATGCTTGTGCCGTAAAGTTGTCTCCAGTTTCTCAATGGCTTCCACAGACAAGACTCGGAGCAGCTTAGGGTGTTCAGTGACAGTACCTGGTAAAGCCTGTTGCTGCTGATCAAGGGCCGTTGGCATCCAGGGCATAACTTTGTGATGCAGGTCCGGGTCACTTGCTGTCTGCAGTTCCAGGAACTGGCTTTCTGGAATGCAGGGAAAAGGAGCCACTGCCAGGACCCCAGAAATTCTGCAGTCCCAGGACCTGTGTACACAGGCGGGGATCTTGCCCTGGTGGATTTGTCCACATTTGGAGTCGATGTGGCTCTGCAGTATTGCCTTGACCTGAGTTAACAAGTGTGGCCTGGGGATGGACACTGGGGCCGCAATGGGTGACAGCACATCGCAAGCCCCGTTGGCCTCTAGGGCTACAGGCTGGGGGATGCTCACGTTGGCTAGGGCTGTGCTGCTGCTGGACACAGTCTGCTGATCAGTGGAGGTAAGGAGCAACTGGATGGACTGCTGGATCTTCTGAGGCAGGCCCCAGCGATGGCGAATCAACTGTTTCTGGATGTGGAATTCCAGCAGCTTCCGGGCATGCTCCGGGAAGAAGAGTAGTTCCCTGGTGAGCACTGAGATGGACTTCCCTGTCTGGGAAGCTGTCGTGGTCTCAGGAGACTGAGCTTTGCCACAGGGCTCATGCTGCATGAGGCACTGGGTGTGCTGAGACCTCTGGAGGGCAGCTGGCCAGCCCCACTGAAGCTGGAGTTGCCTCTGTAGCAGGTGCCACTCCAAGGCTTCATACTCAGCCAGAGTCAGAAATGGGACATTGATCTGAGCTCGTTGATGGTCAGATGGAGACATCCAGTTTGGGGAAAGTGGGGAAGAGGGTGGGGCTGACTGGGGTGAAGTTTTAGGGAGCAGTTGGGGGAAGGAGAGCTCATTGAAGAGAAAAGGATCCTTCAAGGGGGGCTTGGGCACATTTTCAATCTTGGGGAGGCCTTGAGATCCCATGAAAGTGGCAACCAGGGACTCACTGTGCAGAGAAGGGAGCCCACAGAATAGCTGGCTGTATTTCTGCTGGAGATCACTCCCTGAGTCATTATCTTGTCCCCCAGACTGTGGATGGGGGCCACTTAGGGCTTTAAGGGCTGGAGAGGGCAAGGCTAGAGCCATAGGGTTTGGAGTTTGCTGACAGTGGTGTCTTTGTTCTGGGTTCATTGTGGACCATTCAGAAACCCAGAAGGTCTGGATGGGCTGGCCAGCCACACATGAACACCAGGTCTGGAGGGAAATGGTCTCAAATCTATGAAGAGAGACCTGAGGAGTATTCTTCAGGTTGAAAGAAACTGGCTGGTCATTTCCAGGTTGGTAATACAATGGTGGGTTTGGCATAAGCTGCCTCAGGGACTCCTCCACACGTCTTGGGAGCCCCCACCTCTGGAAATGCATCCATTTTTTAACATGTACCTCAAGAAGCCTCAGCACTTCAGGACTGAGAAATGGCAGGTGGGCAGGGAGGACCATATGCAAGGCCATTGGATGCATCCGGTTCAGGGTTTCTGGGTTCAGGGACAGCAAGGAGACCTGGGAATTCAAGTGATGCTGGCCTTGGTTTCCCTGGACAAGGCTGGGGTTGCTCTGCGTCATCTCCTCCTGGTTCAGTGGAGCCCTTGGCTTCTCAATCCTTGAAGAAGCTATGGTGTTTGGGCCCCGGAGCACATCTGGCACTTGAAATTCCTGCCCTAGCTGGAGGTGATCAGCCCAGTAATCTTGTATGCCATCTGCATACGTTGACTGGGCAGCTGACTGGGTTAAAGATTTCTGATCTGTTAATTGTGACAGTGTTGGGGTTACAGATGACAGTGAAAGCTCTCTGGTGTGCCAGGAATGAAACTCCAGACTCTGATCTAAAGACATACTAGACGTAGACAGCATCTCTAGGCAAGAGGAGCCCTGCAATGGCCCCGATAAAGTCAGGGAGATCTGGTTGTTCTCACCCACCAGCAATTGCTGAATCTCCAGAGCCACAGAATTGCAGATTTGGCAGCAGGGATCTGCACACAGGATTCGCCGCACACTTCTCTCCAGAGGAAGCCAGCCCTGGCTAGGAAGGGAAACACGGCAAAATTAACGATGGAGTGACATCTGCCTTCTTGGAAGAGTGTGGGCTGGAGTGGGCACTCTCCTTTCCCAGTCCTGAAAACCCTGGGGCCTATACCATCTTGTTGTCTACCTGTCTGCTTTCCTTGCTAAGAAAATGCCATTTGGCAAGGTGTGGTGGGCTGGGCTGATGGTCTGGAGCTTGTTGGGCAAGGCCTCAGACAACCCATGGGAGGGCATGGCCCTCAGAGAGGGCTGGGAGTTGGAGTCAGTTCTCTGTTGACCTTGTTGAAAAGCTGAACTAGGAGAATGGAGCTAGGCAGTTAGCTGATGGGGCATCACCAGGAACATCACCAGTTAGAACCCAGACCAGTCTTATTTGAGGCTAAGAAATCCAAAGCCTGTATTCAGTACTTCCAAGCTGTAGAAAATGAGGTCCTTGTGGGACTTCTGCATTCTGGGGTATTTGGTACCCGTAATGTTATACCCAGCATCTCTTCGGAACCAGTCCTGTTCTCTAGAGCTCTTAAGGAGAGGATAATATAATAGACTCCTGTCTAAGGAGTGTCCCAAGTACTGGCCTCACTGAAGACAGAACCGGAGGAGGTCATGTCAGCAGAGTCTAGCCAGAGTCAGGTATTTTCCCTTGAAAGGGTATAGCTTTATTCCCTTGAAAGAGTATAAAGAGAATAAGACAAGGATGACTTCTTTATTCAAAACCCATTCTCTTAACTGGGTAACTTATCTCATGGCTGAGTGCAGCTCCATGTAATATGTTTTATGAATTATACACTAGTAAAATCCTGAATTGTAGAACTGCTGTTACCCTAGCACAGAACTGAACTGGGCAGCTCATCTCTCCTGAGACATGTGAACCCCACTCTTCCCTGGCAACCCTCTCACCCAGTGTCCCTGCTTCCACTGTGTATGTCTCCCTCCCAGCCATTATCTTTCTCCTTAGTCCTGCCCCAGGCCAAGCCAAGAAATCATCATAGGCCAGGCTGGTTGTTGATAGAGTGCAAAGAGCAATAGATCACCTTTTAATGATGGAGAGCAGCTTCTGTGGCTTCTCAGCTTCTTCCCGGGAACGTCTCCTAGCTGAGGAACGGGGAGACAGTGTTATATGGCATGGGATAATTTCATAGGCATCCTATAGGAAGCTGAATAGTAAGGCCTTTGACTCTCATCAAGAAAAGACTACAATCCTGAAAAGTCCGTACTCTAAGGCATGTCTGAGTACAGCATCGCTGTAACACAATGTCCCATATCTAATTTCATTTGATTTTTACAACCACAATGTGATTGAGGCAGGATTGTCAGTGTTTTGCTCATTTTGTGGATAAGAATGAGAGATGAAATGACTTCCACAGGGTCATAAAACTAGTAAGTTATACAATTAAGAACATCTGCTCTACTTTCTTAATTCTTCATTTCCAGGGCATTGAGGTACAGGATTTTGGAACATTCTCAAGTTATGATTTCCCACCCATGGAAATTTCAGTCTGGGGAACTGGAGTCTTCAGTGGCAGAGCACCTGGCTCTTGGCTCCAGAGGTCACAGAGGGACAGGATTCATGGGAAACACCCACAGTGGAAGGGAGTCAGAGGAGAGATTGGGACTTTACCTGTTGATGCTGCATCTCTAGCTCTTTGCCTGACTTTTTGGTGACACTTAGAAGACAAAAACATTAGAATGTGAAGCTGGGACACCATTTTCTTTCTCATGTCCAAAATGAGACAAAACTTACATACATTTTTCACTCGCTTTGTATATATCTATCTGTATTTTATACACTCTCCTGGACTTCCTTTGCCTATTCCACCTTTTTACCCCATTTTCCTTCTCTGCTTATTTTGGATTCACTTGGAGGCTTTTCCAAATTCTATACCTCCCATCTGATTCACAGAGAAGTCCTGCTGGATGCTGAGGATGACACAGGAGGAAAAGCAGAACAGACAAAAGGGTAAATGGTTCTAACAACCAAAGGACTTCTGCTTACAAAGCCCACCAACCGGAAAAATCCCCCATATTCAGAGAGCTTCCGAGATCCAGCAAGATAGACTTCATATTATCTAGTTCTCAATCCAAACCAAATAGAGAGGTTCTTGGCTTTTCAATCAGACTATGTTGCGGGAAGGGCCTGGTAAGGAATTATAGTCTCTGAGAAGAAAAGTATTACACAAAGGTAACTGAAAGTATGCTATAAAAATTCTGGGGTGGGGATTATAAGGGAGCACGGTAAGAACTTATAGGCTTCTTATCTGAGGCTTAATTAGTTCAGTTGGGATCACAGCCCTACCCGGCAGCAGCTCCTTTTAGGTTCTGAACTCAATTCATGGTGGCTCCTTTTCACTTGCCAGATAATTACAATAACGATGAAGATGGAGCCATAGATGTATAAGGGATATCCAACTTCCCACAGAACAAAAGTAGGGCTCAACATGGTCTAAACTTCATTAGCATGAGATCAACCATCCCTCTATCTCGGAATTCAGGGTTCTGGTGCCTAATGAATCCCAGTGCTAGGCCTTGTCATGTCCACCTCACAGAGGACGGAACTAGGCCACCAGACTGCATCACAAAGCCCTCCTGTTTCATAAGGTACATGTAGTAGGGAAGCTCATGTGGTGATTCAGTCTGTAGATGAGGGTGTTTTGAGCCTGGGACTGAAGGTGCCACAAGCAGTGTCTATTTCCTAGTCTGTCTTCACTTTCCACTCCCTATACCAGCCTGATGCCTCGGCTCTCTCCTTCACAACTGTATGGTCACCTGTCCTCAGAAAACTGAGTGCTTTGGCACAGGGGTCACCTCATAAGAAGGGGTAGATAGGCCGGAGGAACCTCCACTAACTCTCCCACTAGTTTTGGTAATATACCTGAGAAACACACATGAATTTAGGGAGGGCGGAGTCTGGTTATGGCTTGGAAATGGAGATCTTTGATGTTTTAGGCAATGGGTGATTGGTAACAGAGGTGCAGGAAGGGGACCATGGCTGATGTGGTAGGGTGGTAGGGAGAGGCCAAGGTGGTTGTACGTATCTGGTCTGTGTGGCCTCAAGCTTGCAGATGGGTTGGGACTGTAAATGCTACCTTCCATGGAGGCACATTCATGCTCAGGGAGATGAATGCCTGCAGAGATGGGTTAGTGGCCGCTTCTGACTGTGGGTCACAAGTGACTAGTTGCTGTTCATGGTTGGATGTATGCTGTTTGCCTGAGGATGTTTTTTTTGTTTGTTTGTTTATTTTTCTCAAATCTGTATTTTGTAAATTTTTAGGCAGGGCATGTGTTTTCCAATTCAGCTTCAGGACCCATTACTTCCATAGCCAGACTATTGATTTACCTGCCTAGCTTTTGTAGATATTGTGATATGCCACCAACACCTCAGTATTCCTGAATTTCCTTGAGAGAGTTCTGCTCTGGTAATGGTGGTCTCAGGCCAAGAAACCTTTGGGCTGAAAATCTCTGAAGAGGCTTTGGTCCTTCCTCAGTATCCAGCCCACCCAGCAGATGTGGTAAGCACCCAATATGTGCTCAGCCCTAAGCTGGGGAGTGTTGAGGATACAAAGACATTTGAGCCGCATTGGCTTTCTGCTTTCAAGATACTTAAAAATGTAGTTTCAAAGACAAGACTAATTCATACAAAGCAAGAGCCAACAATCACTACAAATAGACTTATATACTCATTCGTAAGGCTCTGGCCACAAACATTCCATTTCAGAGAAGAGAAATCATAGTGAGGATCATGGTCATCAGAGAGGGCTCCTGGGTAGTCGAAGTTAAGTTTAACAGTGCAGGTTGTGGGTAAAAGGACTCTTCCTGGTGGGAGAAAAACTTACCAGCTCATGCTGAATCTAGGGAATGGGCCATGGAGTTCATTTGGCAATAACAAATGCAGTGTATCTCTAGCAGAATATAGAAGGGTGGACTGGAGAGCAATTGTGAGAAAGATTGGAGGATCAGGATAGAGGCCTCTTGATGGAGGGAGGGCCTTTGTATCTATTTTATTTCAATCCCTAAGACTATTTTTTTTAAAGTAAGCATACTTACACATGGCACAAAATTTAAAAGGCAGAAGAGTGTATAGCTGTCTCTCATCCCTGTCTCCTCCTATTTTTCTTCCTCGTGTATCTCTCTTTTAAAAAATGTTTTATTTTTATTTTGTATGGGTACATAGTAGGTGTATATATTTATGGGGTATGTGAGATATTTTGATACAGGCATACAATGCATAATAATCACATCAGGGTAAATGGGGTATCCATCACCTCAAGCATTTATCGCTTCTTTGTGTTACAAACATTCCAATTATACTTCTAGTTATTTGAAAATGTACAATAAATTATTATTGACTGTAACCACCCTGTTGTGCTATCAAATACTAGGTCTTATTTATTCTATCTAATTATATTTTTTGTATACATTAACCATCTGCCCTTCTCCCACCCAAACCCCCACACCTCACCCCGCTACCTTTCCCAGCCTCTGGTAACCATCATTCTATTCTCTATCTCCATGAGTTCAATTGTTTTAATTTTTAGCTCCCACAAATGAGTGAGAACATGCAAAATTATTTTGCCATGCCTGGCTTATTTCACTTAATATAATGTTCTTCAGTTCCATTCATGTTGTTGCAAATGACGGGACCTCATTCTTTTTTTATGGCTGAATAGCACTCCATTGTGTATATGTACCACATTTTCTTTATCCATTCATCTGTTGATGGACATTTAGTTTGCTTCCAAATCTTGGCTATTGTGTAAATATAGGAGTGCAGATATCTCTTCAATATACTGATTTCCTTTCTTTTGGTTATTGGTTGTATACCTAGCAGTGGTATTGCTGGATCATATAGTAGTTGTATTTTTAGGTTTTTTTTTCTTTTTTTGGACAGGTTTTTGCTCTGTTACCCAGGCTGGAGTGCAGTGGCGTGATCATGGCTCACTGGAGCCTCAACCTCCTGGACTCAAGCAATCCTCCTGCCTCAGCCTCCCAGGTAGCTGGGACCACAGACATGCACCACCACACTTAGCTAATTTTTGGATTTTTTTTTTTTTTTTTGTAGAGATGAGGTCTCACTTTATTGCCCGTGTTGGTCTTGAACTCGTAGGCTCAGGTGATCCTCCCACCTCGGCCTCCTAAAGTGTTGGGGTTACAGGCGTGAGCCTATTTTTAGTTTTTTTGGGGAACCTCCATACTGGTCTCCATAGTAGCTGTACTAATTTACATTCCCACCATCAGTGTACAAGGGTTCTCTTTTTCTCCACATCCTTGCCAGCATTCATTGTTACCTGTCTTTTGGATAAAAGCCATTTTAACTGGGGTGAGATGATATCTCAGTGTAGTTTTGATTTGCATTTCTCTGATGATCACTGACATTGAGCACCTTTTCAGAGACCTGTTTGCAATTTGTATATCTTCTTTTGAGAAATGTCTTCTTTTGACAAAAGATCTTTTGTCCATTTTTCAATAGGATTATTAGATTTTTTTTTCTAATGAGTTGTTTGAGCTCCTTATATGTTCTGGTTATCAATCCCTTGTCCAGATGAATAGTTTGTAAATATATTTTCTCCCATTCTGGGGTTGTCTCTTCACTTTGTTGATTGTTTCCTTTGCTGTGCAGAAGCTTTTTAACTTGATGTGAGCCCATTTGTCCACTTTTGCTGCTTTGGCTGTCTGTGCTTATCGGGTATTGCTCCACAAAGAAATCTTTGCCCCTAGATCAATTTCCTGGAGAGTTTCCTCAATACTCCTGTATCTTTCAGAATTAATTTAGCATGGGAAGCATAAATAAATTGATATATTTTCTTCATAAATGGAAACATGCTAGATACTGTTTTCCCTTTTCTTTTAGTTTTAATTATTATGAATATATCTTCTGTATATAATTTTCTTTAATGTTTGTACAGTCTTCTTTGGTAAAACTATAACATGACTTATTTTCAATCCTATATCCGTGGATATTTCTTTAAAGTTTTTTTGTTCTACCAAATAACACTGACATGAACCTCATGTGTATAAGTTCTTGTACACTGGTATGAGTATATAACTAGGAGAAATTCCTAAGAGTTGAATTAATGGGTCAAAAGGTGTGTGTATTTTAAATGTTGATATTGCATAATTGCCTACCAATTGTATGAATTTGCACTCTCACCAAAACTCTGTAAGGGTGCCTCTCTTCCTATGCTTGTTGACTCAATATTATCAAATTTTTGATCTTTGTCGATATGAGAAGTGCAAATTTGTATTTTATATATTTATAAATGTGTTTCAATGTATGATAATCACCTTTTTGCTTCTTTTCTGTGAAATATCTCTTCCTATTCTTAGCTCACAGATTATTGGGCAAAAATCACTTATTGATATGTAAGTGTTTTTTAATATTAAGAAATTATATATGTATCAGAAATACTTTTTCTCAGTTTGTCATTTGATATTTATAATGAGTTTTTGCCACATGTAAATTTTTGGATTTTATGTAGTTGAATTTATTAGTCTTTTATTTTATGGCTTCTGTGGGTCTTTTTTTTTTTTTGAGACGGAGTCTCACTGTGTTGCCATGATGCTGGATTTCAGTGGTGCCATTATGGCTCACTGCAACCTTGATCTCTTGGGCTCAAGCGATCTTCCCACCTCAGCCTCCCTAGTAGCTGGGATCACAGGCATGTGCCACCATACCTGGCTAATTTTTATTTTTATTTTGTAGAGATGGGGGTCTCCTGTGTTGTCCAGGATGGTTTTGAACCCCTAGTCTCATGCAATCCTCCTGCCTCGGCCCTCCAAATTGCTGTGATTACAGGCATGTACTACTGTGCCCGGCCATGGCTTCTGTGTTTTAAGTCACACTTAGAAAGGTTTTTCTCTTCCTGAAGTTATAAAAAAGTTCCAATTCTTCAGGTACTCATGGTTTCATTATTTTTGATAAATGAATGAAGTTAGAACCTGTATTAGTTAAGAATTACACTGAGGTACATCTAACAGAGATTCAACTACAAAATAGGGTTTCTCGGGCTTCTGGATTCCTTAGAAAGGAAAGTTGGAAGTAGCATTACTTTCACTCTTACAACAAAAGAAATCACACATACAAGAAGAAAAGAAATCACAAGACACTGTAAATTCACAACTTTTCTTGAATTTGTCAGCAAGCTGAAGTTCTAGGTCAACTCAATTAACCTTAATCTAAGGAAAGACATCTTGAAGGAGATGTAGCACAGGTGCACTTGCTTATTTGGAGCCGACTCCCCCACTTCCCTCCCATCAAGCTTGTAAGAATCCAGATAAAAGTTTTAATGAATTGCTAAAGGCCAACTGTAGCCCAGCGTGAGAATACAGAAATGCTGGGACTTACAAGTACAGGGAGAATTCACACTCACTTGCAGGGTCCTTTCCACGAACCTTAGTGTGTATTCACAAGAAAGACTGGGGGTAGTGTGAGAGTCCTGAAAAAATATCACTCGTGGTACAGGCCTGGGGAAAAGGAAGAGCAGCTGCTGAGGGGAAAGGCACCAAGCCCTTCCCAGATTCTTCTCCCTTCTCTTCCCTATGGAAACAAAAGCCTTAAGTTGCTAGATGAAGAGCAGTAAGTCCTGTCGTGAGGCCATAAATCACGTATAGGTGAAGACCCATTGCAGCTGGAAAAAGGGAAAAGAAAAAAATCCTCTACCTTTGTAGGCCCCAGACCTCCTCTACCTTTGTAGGCCCCAGACCATCAGAAGTATTCCAGCTGGGGGTGGCATAGGATCAGGGAGAAGGCCCTGTCCTGAGATTCAGGGGCACAGCCCCTGTCTAAAACTGAAGCTGAATCAGAAAAACAGAATCTCCCCACCCTGACCAACCAGGCTAATAAGCATTAAGTAACAACTGCAGTCTACTGCTGAAATACCATCAAGAGCATGGAGGATGACATTGAGCAAACCTCTGGCAAACCAGCCTCAACCATAAACACAAAGTAATATTAGAGAAACCTGGAGCCTGTTATGCACTGACAGTAACATAGCAAGAACAAAACCCAAACACAGCTCAGCTCCTGACTAGACTGAATCAATCTCCCATACTAAAGTCCTAGCAGAAGGAAAGGGGTGATCATTTTCAGGTATAAAAATGATTTAACTCAGTCTACTCTCTTACAATAGATGTCCAGCTTTCTTTTTTCTTTTTTTTTTTTTTTTTTTTGAGACGGAGTCTCACTTTGTCGCCAGGGCTGGAGTGCAATGGTTCAATCTCAGCTCACTGCAACCTCCGCCTCCTGGGTTCAAGCGATTCTCCTGCCTCAGCCTCCCAAGTAGCTGGGATTACAGGCGCCCGCCACTATGCCCAGCTAATTTGTTGTATTTTTAGTAGAGATGGGGTTTCACCATATTGGCCAGGCAGGTCTTGAACTCCTGACTTTGTGATTCGCCCACCTCGGCCTCCCAAAGTGCTGGAATTACAAGCGTGAGCCACCGCACCCGGCCCAGATATCCAGCTTTCAACAAAATATTATTACAAGGCATATGAAAAAGCAAGAGAAAATCACCGTACTATAAAGTGACAAAGCAGGCCGGGCACGGTGGCTCACGCCTGTAATCCTGGCACTTTGGGAGGCCTTGGCTGGTGGATCATGAGGTCAGGAGTTCAAGACCAGCCTGGCCAATATGGTGAAACCCTGTCTCTACCAAAAATACAAAAATTAGCTGGGCGCGGTGGCAGATGCCTGTAATCCCAGCTACTCAGGAGGCTGAGACAGGAGAATCGCTTGAATCCGGGTAGCGGAGGTTGCAGTGAGCCAAGATTGTGCCATTGCACTCCAGCCTGGGTGAAAGAGTAAGAGACTCCCTCTAAAAAAAAAAAAGAGAGACAAAGCAATTAACATAACCAGACTTAGATATATGATACATATATTGGAATTATCAGAAAGAGAAACTTAAGGAACTATGTTTGATATGTTAAACGATCTAGTGGAAATGGTAGGCAGCCTTCCTGATCAGATGGGTAATTTCATCAGAGAGATGGCAACTCTAAGAAATAATAAAATGGAAATTCTGGAAATAGTAAGTATAGTTACACAGATAAAGGTTGCTTTTGTCAGGCTCACCAGTAGTAGTTTTTTTCCTCCACAGTGGAGGAAAAAATAAGTGAACCTGAAGATAATTCCATAGAAATTATCCGACACGAAACAGAAAGAAAAAAGTGAAAAAAGCAAAACAATACCAGAACAGAGCATCCAAGAGCTGTGGCACAATATTAAACAAACACACGTATATGCAACTGACATCCCAGGAGAAAAGAAAGATGATGGAACAGAAGAAATATTTGAAGAAATAATGGCCAGGGGTTTTTCAAAAAAAGAAAAACAACTTTTTTTTTGAGACAGGGTCTCATTCTCACCCAGACTGGAGTGCAGTGGCACAATGATGGCTCACTGTAGCCTCGACCTCTCAGCCTCAAGAGACCCTCCCATCTCAGCCTCCTGAGTAGCTGGGACTATAGGCATGCACCATCTCACCCAGTTAATTTTTTATTTTTTGTAGAGATAGGGGTCTCCCTATGTTGCCCAGGCTGGTCTTGAATTCCTGGGCTCAAGTCATCCTCCCACCTTGGCCTCCCAGAGTGTTAGGATTACAGGCATAAGCCAACATGCCTGGCTGAAATTTTCAAAACTAATGATAAATACCAAGCTAAAAATCCAAGAAGCTCAGAGAATACTAACCAGGGTAAACATTTAAGAACAGACCTAGACATGTATTATTTGAACTGCTGACAAAGGAAGACAAAGATGCTAAAGGCAGCTTGAGAAAAAAGGAAACATTATATAAAGACTAACAAAGATAAGAATTATAGTAGACTTCTGATCAAATCTATGTAAGCTAGAAGACAGTGGAGTGGCATCTTTAAAGCACTGGAAAAAAATGTGTCAGCGTGGAATTCTATACCACGCAAATGATATATTTCAAAAATGAGAGAGAGATAAATATGTTTTTCAGGCCACTAGGGTTTCTCTTCTTCAAAAAGTGGGCTGCCAATCATTGATTCTCTCACTTCTTCCTAGCTAACTGAACCCATATTTTAAAAATTAAGGTAAAATTTACATGTCATAAATTCACCATTGAACTATTTTAAAGTGTGTAATTCAGTAGGTTTTAGTACATTCACAACATGGTGCAATCATCACCACTAATTCTAGAACATTTTCATCACTCTCAAAGAGAAACCCTGTATTTATTAGGCATTCACCTACTATTCTACCTTCCCCCTAGTCCCCAGCAACCATGAATCTGCTTTCTGTCTTTATGGAATTTCCTATTCTGAACATTTCATATAAATGGAATCAGAATATGTGACCTTTTGCACCTGACTTCTTTCACTTAACACAATGTTTTTAAGGTTCACCCATGTTGTGGAACCTATTACTACTTTATTTCTTTTTATGGCTGAAGAATAATCAATTACATGGACATACCACATTTTGCTTATCCATTCATCATTTGATTGACATTTGGATTATTTCCAGTTTTTGGCTACCATGAATAATGCTGCTATGCACATTTGTATACAAGGTTTTGTTCCCGTTTTCAGTTCTCTTGGGTATATACATAGGAGTAGAATTGCTGGGTCATGTGGTAATTCTATGTTTAACTTTTTGAGGACCTATCAAACTGTTTTCCATAGTAACTGCACCATTTTACATTTTCACCAACAATGTATGACGAACCCTAATTTTTAGTTAGAGCTGCAGAACCCTGAGAACACTGCGATTCCCAGTTCCCCAGGATGAATTGTGATTTCTAAAAGCCAACTGAGGCATATTATATTTTCCAAAAATTGACACGATATTTATAGTCCGACATGCTTTTACTGTAACTTGTCACTTCGTCATCATGAGATGGTGTCTGTTTCCTCTCCTCTTGACACTGAACAGATCTTTGTGACTGATTTAACAAATAGAAGATAGTGTAAGCATTGTTGTGTCATAAAAGGCAATATGGCTTTTGTCTAGCTTTTTTTTTTTTTCCTCAGGATACGTGCCCTTGAATCCCTGAGTAGCCATACAGAAAGTCCAGAAGATTATGCAGAGAGACTACATAGAAATAGAGTGAGATGTTCAAGGACCCCCAGTTGTTACAGCCTCAGCTATTTATCTTCTCAACCCAGGCATCAGATATGTGAATAAGTGAGTCTTTAGATGATCCAGCACCAGCATTATCTGACCGCCACTGTGGCCAGATCCCAAACAAGACTGCCTAGCTGATCCCAGTCAGTCCCACAAACAGAGATAATAATATTGTAATTGTTTTTTAAGCCACTCACTTGGGGGTGATTTATTAATCAACAATAGATATCAAAGCAATTGGTCCCCTTTGTCAGAGTCCCAATTTTTAGACTTTTTAATTTTTTTTTTTATTTTTATTGAGACAGAGTCTCGCTCTGTCGCCCAGGCTGGAGTGCGGTGGTGCAATCTCGGCTCACTGCAATCTCTGCCTCCCGGGTTTGAGCGACTCTCCTGCCTCAGCCTCCTGAGTAGCTGGGATTACAGGCACCTGCCACCATGCCCGGCTAATTGTATTTTTAGTAGAGATGGGGTTTCACTGTGTTAGCCAGGATGGTCTTGATCTCCTGACCTCATGATCCGCCTGCCTCAGCCTCCCAAAGTGCTGGGATTACAGGTGTAAGCCACCACGCCCTGCCTAGACTTCTTTACATCTAAGGATGGACATGGGACCCAGTTCTGACTAAGAACATACGGGGAAATTTTCTGGGAGGACTTCTGGGAAGGAGTTTCTTTCTGATATAAGAGACGGGATATAGGAGGACTTGCTTACAGCTCCCCAGCTTATGCTCCCTTGCTTCCTGCCCTTCGGTAAGAAGTATGGACATCATGCTTATACCTAGAGCAGCCATTTGTGGTCCTGAGGTGATGGGCCAGAGGTTAAAACATCAGTATCTGAGGATGATGGAGAAGAACAGACAGTGTTAGGATGTCCAATGACATTAATCTCTAAAGGAACCCTGGAACCTCCTGAGTTTGAGTACTGTTTCCGAGCCAGAACACTTCTATTTCCTCTACCTACTTTTCATTTTCATGTACCATGATTCTGGGTTTTAGCTGTTTCCTAGTTTCATTCAAGTTGCAGTTTTCTAATTTTCTTGTTGTTTTGAGGTGATTTTCTAGAGAAGGAGTAAGAAACCTATTTATTCATTATCTTGAAACTGATCAACTTTATTCATAGTAAGAAAGTTCAAGTTAAAACAAGATCTCATTTTCATTTCACGTTGACAAAAATAATATTTGATTATACAATATGTTAGGAGAGGTATAGGAAAGAGACACTCCTATATAATGATGGTTGGAACATAAATTGGAACAAACGTTTGGAGTGCCATTTAGGGGTACTTATAGAAATGTGAAATGCACATAGCCTTTGATCCAGCAGTTCCCCTTCTGGGAATTTACCTAATAGATAAACTCATATATTTCCACAAAGACATATGAAAGGATAGTCACTGCATCATTATGTGTCCGGAATTGGTGGGTTCTTGGTCTCACTGACTTCAAGAATGAAGCCGTGGAGGCTCACGGTGAGTGTTACAGCTCTTAAGGTGGCGCGTCTGGAGTTTGTTCCTTCTGATGTTCGGATGTGTTCGGAGTTTCTTCCTTCCAGTGGGTTCGTGGTCTCACTGGCTCAGGAGTGAAGCTGCAGACCTTCGCGGTGAGTGTTACAGCTCATAAAGGCAGTGTGCACCCAAAGAGTGAGCACCAGCAAGAGTTATTGCAAAGAGCGAAAGAATAAAGCTTCCACACTGTGGAAGGATACCCCAGCGTGTTGCCGCTGCTGGCTGGGGCAGCCTGCTTTTATTCTCTTATCTGGCCCCACCCACATCCTGCTGATTGGTAGAGCCAAGTGGTCTGTTTTGACAGGGCGCTGATTGGTGCGTTTACAATCCCTGAGCTAGACACAAAGGTTCTCCACCTCCCCACCAGAGTAGCTAGATATAGAGTGTCCGCACAAAGGTTCTCCAAGTCCCCACCAGAGTAGCTAGATACAGAGTGTCGATTGGTGCATTCACAAACCCTGAGCTAGACACAGGGTGCTGATTGGTGTGTTTACAAACCTTGAACTAGATACGGAGTGCCGATTGGTGTATTAACAATCCCTGAGCTAGACATAAAGGTTCTCCATGTCCCCACCAGACTCAGGAGCCCGGCTGTCTTCACCCAGTGGATTCCGCACCGGGGCTGCGGGTGGAGCTGTCTGCCAGTCCCCGGCCGTGCGCCCGCACTCCTCAGCCCTTGGGTGGTCGATGGGACTGGGCGCCATGGAGCAGGGGGCGGCGCTAGTCAGGGAGGCTTGGGCCGCCCAGGAGCCCACGGAGTGGGTGGGAGGCTCAGGCATGGCGGGTTGCAGGTCCTGAGCCCTGCCCTGCGGGAAGGCAGCTAAGGCCAGGCAAGAAATCGAGCGCAGCGCCGGTGGGCGGGCACTGCTGGGGGACCCAGTACACCCTCCACAGCCGCTGGCCTGGGTGCTAAGCCCCTCATTGCCCGGGGCCGGCAGGGCCAGCCGGCTGCTCCGAGTGCAGGGCCCGCCAAGCCCACGCCCACCTGGAACTCCAGCTGGCCCGCAAGCACCTCGCGCAGCCCCGGTTCCCGCTGGCGCCTCTCCCTCCACACCTCCCTGCAAGCTGAGGGAGCTGTCTCCAGCCTTGGTCAGCCCAGAAAGGGGTTCCCACAGTGCAGTGGTGGGCTGAAGGGCTCCTCAATTATTTAGAATAGTGAAGCAGTGGAAACAACCTAAGCATGAGGCTCATTAAATAAATTATTATATATCCTTACAATGGAATATTATGCTACCATTAAAAAGGATGAGGTAGATACATATGGTCTCGTATGTAAGTGAAACAAGTGTATATAGTGTCCTCTCTTTCTCTCTCTCTCTTTTTTTTTTTGGTTATGGAGTTCCACTCTTGTCGCCCAGATTGGAGTGCAGTGGTGTGATCTCAGCTCACTGCAACTTCTGCCTCCCAGGTTCAAGCAATTCTCCTGCTTCAGCCTCCCGAGTAGCTGGAATTACAGGTTTGTGCCACCATGCCCGGCTAATTTTTGTATTATTAGTAGAGACGGGGTTTCACCATGTTGGCCAGGCTGGTCTTGAACTCCTGACCTCAGGTGATCCACCTGCCTTGGCCTCCCAAAGTGTTGGGATTACAGGCATGAGCCACTGCGCCTGGCCTGTGTCCTCTCATTTTTGTAAAAAAAGTTTAGAAACACACACACACACACACGTATATATATAGATCATTAAGGGCTATCTTAAAGGCTGGCTACTAGACAGGTAGATGAGTTTTCTATTTTCCACTTCTAACAGATTGTTACAAGGCAGTATTTCTTTTCTTTTCTTTTTCTTTTTCTTTTTCTTTTTTTTTTGAGACGGAGCTTCACTCTTGTTGCCCAGGCTGGAGTGCAATGCTATGATCTTGGCTCACCGCAACCTCCACCTCCCAGGTTCAAGTGATTCTCCTGCCTCAGCCTCCTGAGTAGCTGGGATTACAGGCATGTGCCACCACGCCCAGCTAATTTTGTACTTTTAGTAGACACGGGGTTTCTCCATGTTGGTCAGGCTGGCCTCGAACTCCCGACCTCAGGTGATCCACCTGCCTTGGCCTCCCAAAGTGCTGGGATTATAGGCATGAGCCACCGCACCTGGCCTGGTAGTATTTCTCTATCGCCTGTCCAGCGATGTTCTGCATGGCCAAGTGACGGCTGGGCTGGCTGTGTAATGTACTACCTTCTATTTGCTTTTCATCCTTTCCTGTCTCATGTCCCTTTTCGTTGACTGTCCTTGTGAAGAATTAGTACTTAAGCTTTGCCTAGCCTCTGTTTTCTAAGCAGATGGAACTAAGACAAACAGTGCAGCTTAAGTATTTCATCATACTAGTTTTAAATGGGGGGGTGGGGAGAGAACAGGAAGTGCTCTCAGGATATGTGATTCTCAGTGTGTTCCATATCAATGTACTTGTCGAGAAAACTCTTGAAAGTACAGAGAGAATAGAAGTCATGGTATAAAAGATCTGCCAGTGAGTACTGAACCTTTGGAGATTCCTTTTCCATTTAATTTGTTTCTCTTCAAAATCACAATTGAAATGCCCAAGAGAATATAAAAATAGAACATCTGTATCTGTATTAGAAGGACATTTATATTTTGTGAAATATCAGCAAGATACAGCGCAAATATGCCCAGATTGAAGGGAATATTAATCAGCTTTTAATTTCAGGAATGTAGAAGAAAAACTCACTTGGAAAATAAGTAGATTAAAGTCTCCCAAAGAGGTCCCCTCACAAACTCAAGTTCAGAGGAGCAGAGCTGGGAGTGAGAGTGGGCTGTGGGATAGCATGGGGAGGGGACCAATGACCTTGGACTCTGACCGTGGCCCAGTCTTGGAGCAGCTCTCTCCTTGCTCACTCTCAGCATTTCCTCAGAGTAGATACCTCTGGGCACTACTACAGTACCATCGCTGCAGGCCCCCCAACAAAGAACTGTGCCTCAACTAACTTACGGTTGTCACACCATCACAGAAAAAAAGCAACTGCCAGCTACGTCACCAAATGTGGTGTACCTACTCTTTTTTAAAATTTATTTTTATTTTGTATTTTTTTTATAGAGACAGGGTCTCTCTATGTTGCCCAGGCTGGTCTCAAGCTCCCTGACTCAAGAGATCCTCCTGCCTTGGCCTCCCAAAATGCTGGGACTACAGGTGTGAGCCACAATGCCCGGCTTCTTTTTTTCTTTTTTTTAAACAGGGTGAAAAATTATGCACTTTATTTATACAACTTTGCATTAAACACTTGCATTTTAAAATAGTCACACTTTAACAAGACAATTACCTATAATAAAGTCATGCTTCATGAACATGTAGTATAGTTCAGGTATTGAACTGCTTGTTTTTGTAAATAAAGTTTTATTGGAACACAGTCATGCCCATTTGTTGATGTATTGTCTGTGGCTGCTTTCTCACTGCAATGGCAGAGTTGGGTATTTGGAACAGATGCCTGCCAGTCTAAAATATTTAGTATTTCACAATGTGGCTTGCAACAACACTGTAGTTAAAAGCAGCCCGTGATAAATAGTTTCAGTAACAGTATATTCTCTCACTTGAACATTTTCCCCAAGCCCTAGTACAAGCATGTCCTATAGGCTCAAAGACCTTTTATCTCTAGATATAAATGCTGTATAAAGGCTTTTCCTTTATAAAAAATCATGTCTTTTAGAAACATTTTAATCCTAACCTACCTGATATGTGGTGTTACAATTTGACAAAGTAGTAAACTCTATAAAGCACCTTTAGGTGAGGACCAGTTTTCTACTGAAAGGGGACACAATTTAATACAGAATGAGAAAATTTGGACTTGAAGCACAGAAAGGGTTAACCCCTCTAGAGCGTCTTCTTCCATTTCAGAGGATTATTTACAAACATAGTAAACCCTAAAGTTCATATTCACTTCTCCAGATAACTGCAGAAAGGACTATTTTAGGCTATTTATTTCTAATTCACCTACATCTATCTCTTGGAAATATGAGGACCAATAATTGTTTTAACTACGTGGGATTTTGGGAAGAACTCACGATATTAGCCACCATTATAATTTCAGGGAGCATGCCTCCAATATCCTAGGAGTGTCACTTTTATATTTACAGCTCTTCTTGAGTTTGTGCGAAAAATTTACATTCCCGTGTGGGTCCTATATAGGTGTCTAATAACCATACCATTTTCTCCTTTTGGAGATGGTTGGTCCCTTTCCCACCCTTTCCCTATGTCTTAGTCTGTTTTTGCTGCTGTAACAGAATACTTGAGACTGGATAATTTATCATGAACAGAGATTTATTCAGTTCTCAGTTCTAGAGGCTGGGAAGCCCAAGCACATGACGCTGGGATCTGGTGAGTCGTCCCGTGGTGGAAGGCAGAAGGCAGAAGTGAGTGCATGAGACAAAGGGAGGCACTAGGGGCTGAAATCACTTTATAACAACTTACTCTCATGGTAACTAACCTGCTCCTGTGATAACGGCATTAATCCTTTCATGAGGGCTCTGCTCTTGTGACCTAATTACCTTTTATTAGGCCTCATCTCTTAATACCTTTGCACTGGAGATCAGGTTTCCAACACATGAACTTTGGGAGGCACATTCAAACCATAGCACCCTGTTTCTCCTGAGCAATTGTAATTCCAAGCTGGCAAAAGTACTCAAGATTAGGGGCTGAAGATAACGATGGACCATGGGTGGTGGTCAGTGGGGAACAAAGCTCAATTGGATATCATCAGTGGCTTCACTGGAGAATAAATAGGCTTGGAATTTTGAAGAACCAATAAACTGCTTATATGTAAGAGTGAGAAAGATGTAATGCACAAAAATCATAGAGCTGTAAGTTCAAATTTGGGGTAAAAACTATAACAAAATTGGCTTGCTTATGGCCAACTACAAAGTAGGTTGCAACCTGGCTCAGTGCTGCATACTCAGAAGGTTCCTAGTAATTGCTTTCTGATGAGGAGGTGAATCACCACAGAACAGTGGTTTTCAACCTTGTTCATTTGTCACTAAATATTGTGCCAAAATATTTTAATGTTTTACATGATGAAAGAATAAAGGCAACTTAAATTTATCTCTATAATATGCTACTTTTACTTTCATTCTGCAATGCTTTGCTGAGGGAGAGAAAGGGGTAGAGTTACAGCACATATGCTGGAAATTGTGCACTGGGTAACACTGGGCACTTGAATATCATTTCCCAAATGTGTCAGGGTGTAAAAAAGGTTGGGAGCTGCTGCTCTAAAGAATAGGTCTTGCCAAAATCAGGTAATCTTTAATACGGAAACATTCCAAGTGGATGGAGGTGGAGATATCACCTGTCATGACTTGGCAAGATTAAAAAAAAAAATCCAGGTCCATGACATACTCATTAATCATCTGCTCCACCAGCCAGACAGGTGTTGAACAGGAAGCCAGGGGTTAGTTACAGCTTGACAGGAATATTTTAGCACAGAATCAGAAGAGACAATATCATTTCCTAACTAGAAGGCTTGGGCGGAAGCTGCTATCCTTGCTGGGATGGATGCTAAAGGAGTGCAGGGGTGTACTGAGTACACAGGAGCAGAGGAGGGATTAGAGCAAGGAGCAGCCAGCTGGCAGACTATCCTCCATGACTCAGAGCAGAGAGGTCAGGAAGGAGCTGAAGTAGGCTGACTACTAAGTCCCCACAGCTGGAGTGTTGTTAATTCTGATCAGCCTCCTGATTCTTGCTGCTCCATACTGGCTTCTTGGATCCACAGCTATACTGGCCAAGCTTGGTGAGCCATGGTCAAGAGGACCAACAGAGTGGGCTACTCAATTTTCCATCCATCAATCAGCTTCATTTTATAGGCTAGCTGCTTCACTGGAGTGTGAGAAGTAGCTGTAGGTACTCTCGTAGGAGAATGAAAAAAGCGGTGGGGAAAGAATTTACTAGCTTTTCAAGAAGAAATGATATTTACAATAAGAGGTAGGTAGGTAAAATACTGACGGGAATGATGTTAAAGGAAAAAAACCAGCATGTGAAATTATTTGAGCACTAAGAGTATATAACCATGGAAAAATGTGTCCATGAGAAAAAAGACCAGAAATACCCCATACTGATAGCATTATTTATTATGGGGGGTAAAGTTGTGGGTATATTTTTCCATTTCCCATTCAGAATTCTGAAAATGGAAAAATATACCCACAACTTTACCCCCCTAACAAATAATGAAGATGCATTGTACTTCTATAGTTTAAAAAAACATTTCAAAAGTAAACAATTAGGGCACTTTCAATCCAATGATAGATTAAGTTGATTCAGACCATTTCTCCTGCCAAGAACAACTAGAAAATAGTGACAAAATATTTTTAAATAATGTTGAAAGGCATTGTAAAACCTCAACAAAAGTTTGATAAAACTATCAAAAATTACTTTAAAAACTTTGGTAAAACTACCAAAGCACTGAGGAATTATGGGGTCAAGATTCAAGTGAGAGGGAAAGCTTACTGAAGTGAGCCTGACATTTGGGGCTGTTCTTCCTCTTAAGGTCAATGACAAGGGCTAACAGGCCGAAAAACTGAGCAGAAAATTTGAAAGATTTATAGGTTAAAGGGAACAAAACTTGGAATTTGCTTGATAAGAAGGAGGGGTTCTGGTAAAAACCACAGGCTTTTGGTCAATCCTGAAGAGCTGTACCATAGCAGTAAGTATGAACTGGAAATAGATAAGCTGTCACAGGAATTGAATCTACTTTGAATCCTCTCAGTCTCTGATTGAACTATGGTGATCTGGAATTGCCAGTGCCTCTAGCTTAGCTACCAGCCATGAGATACCAAAGCCTGACAACTATAGTAAGAGAAAAGAAAAGTACAAGCTAGTTTCATTTATGAACATAGATATTAGCAACCTAAACAAAAGATTACCAAACTAAATCCACATATAAAATCAGCAATACACTATGAGTGAATTGGGTTTATTTCAGGAGTACAAAGCAAGTGCAAGATTGAAAGAGCAATCACTGCAATTCACATTAAGAGAATTAGGAATAAAAATTGTATGATAATATTGATGTAGAAAAATATTTTGATAATATTAAACATTCATTCATTAGGAAAACTTTTCTCAAACAAGGAATGGATGAAATCTGATAAAGAATACTAAGCAAACATTAAAAACTGTGAGTCAGTCTCCTTTCCTTGCTCAATAAAGCCAAAATTTTGGCAGCTTGGGAGGCATGCCCTGCTCCCAGAGACCTCAATTATGTAAATAATAAACCTTTTTATACCCTCTTATTGTGTGTGGCATCATCAGTCTTGATATTCAAATCAGATTTTGGGTGTGGGCCCATCCTGTTGCTTTAGGGTGGTCAAACAAATCATAAAGCTTCTAGAATATAACATAGAAGACTATCTTCATTACCTTGAGGTTAGGAAAAATTTCTTAAAAAGGACACAAAAAGCACTAATCATAAAGAAAGATTGACACATTGGACTACATTAAAATCAAGATCTTTTATTTATCAAAAGATGCCTTTAAGAGAGTATAAAGGTAAGTACAGAAGGGGAAAAATATATATACAAAATGTTTAGCCAACAAGGCGGTTGTATTCAGAATATATAAAGTTCTGCAGGACATAGTGGCACACACCTACAATCCCAGTGCTTTGGGAGACTGTGGGTTGGGGGGTGGGGGTTGTTTGAGGCCAGGAGTTCAAGACCAGCCTGGGCAACACAGCAAGACCCTGTCTCTACAAAAAAATTAAAAAGTTAGCAGGGCAGAGTGGCCTGTGCCTATAGTTTTAACCACTTGGGAGGCTGAAGTGCACGGATCGCTTGAGCCCAGGAGCTCAAGGCTGCATTGAACTATGATTACACCACTGCACTCCAGCCTGGGTGATAGAGCAAGACCTTGTCTCTTAAAAAGAAAAAAAAGTTATACAAATCAACAAGAAACAGACAGACAACCCAACAGACAAATGAGCAAGGGACCAGAACAAGCATTTTACAGGAAAAGATAACTATTAATAAATTGCTAACAAATGAAAAGGTTTGCAAACTCACTTGAAATCTCAGAAATATAAATAAAGCCACAATGAGTTACTAATATAGGCCTACCAGAGAATATGAAATTTAAAAAATTGACAATGCCAAGAGATGATGAGGATCTGGAGCAACTGAAACTCCCAAACACAGCTGGTGGCAGTGTAAATTGGTACAACCACTATAGAAAACTGTTTGGCAGGATCTGGTAAAGCTGAATATGTGCATTTCCTGATGACCCGGAAATTCCACTGCTAGATTTATACTCAAGAGAAACACACACGTGTTCACCAAAAGACATATATTTGAAAGTTCAAGGTGGCATCATTTATAATAATCTCAAACCAGAAGCAAAAAAAAATATTGTACATCAGCAGTAGAATGGATAAGTAGATTGTGACATATTCATATAATGAAATGCTAAACAACAATGAAAATGAATGAATTACTCCTATACGTAACTGCACAAACATAATGTTGAATAAAATAGTATATACTATATAATTTCATTTACAGTTCAAAAATAAGGATGTTAAAAGGATAGAAATTACCTTTGGGGAGAAGGGAGGGTAGGAGGTGATTAGGAGGGGATACAATAGAGTTTTGAGGTGCTAGTAACATTATATTTCTCAAATATCATAGAAGTGGATAATTTGGTGTGGTCCCTTTGTGCTAATTCATCAAGATGTACACTTGAGATTTGTATATTTTTCTGTATGTATGTTATACTTGGATATGGTTTGGATCTGTGTTCCCACCCAAATCTCATGTTCAATTATAGTCTCCAGTGTTAGAAGTGGGGCCTGGTGGGAGGTGATTGGATCATGGGGGCAGATTTCTCATGAATGGTTTAGTGTCATCCCCTTGGTACTGTCCTCACAATAGTGAGTGAGTTCTCGTGAGATCAGGTCTGACCCAGCACAGTCCTAGTTGTGGTGGCCACAGGCTTGCTTGTTTCACCACACCCCCAGCCTCAGATGGCTCAGCATAGAGAGACTCTGTTTGGGAGAAAGTAAGGGAAGAGAACAAGAGTTTCTGCCTGGTAATCCAGATAATTCTTCTGGATCTTAGCCATAGAGTTACCAAGGTGGTTGGGGCGTCCCTTAATGCAGATATGGCTACAGTGATCAAAAACATAGTATCACAACACCCAAATCCCTTTGAATAATTAGAAAGTCTTCCCAAGAAGGATGGGTATGAACAAGCCCAAACTGAGAAGACTACAATAAATACCTAACTCTTCAATGCCTAATGCACTGGTGAACATTTGCAACCATCAAGACCATCCAGGAAAACATGACCTCACCAAATGAATGAAATAAGGCACCAGGGACCAATCCCAGAGAGAAAGAAGTATGTGACTTTTCAGACAGAGAATTCAAAATAGCTGTTTTGAGGAAACTCAAATAAATTCAATATAACACAGAGAAAAAATTCAGAATTCTATCAGATAAATGTAACAAAGAAATTGGTATAATTAAAAAGAATCAAGTAGACATTCTCAAGTTGAAAAACACAATTGACATACTGAGGAATGCATCTGTCTCTTAATTGTAGAATTGATCAAGCAGAAGAAAGAATTAGTGAGCTTAAAAACAGGCTACTTAAAAATACATAACCAGGGGAGACAAAAGAAAAAAGAATGAAATACAATGAAGCATGCCTACAAGATCTAGAAAATACCCTCAAAAGGGCAAATCTAAGGGTTATCGGTCTGAAAGAGGCGATAGAGAGATACATATAGAAGTTTCTTCAAAGGCATAGTAACAAAGAACTCCCCAAACCTAGAGAAAGACATCAATATTCAAGTACAAGAAAGTTATAGAATACCAAGCAAATTTAACCCAAAGAAGACTACCTCAAGGCATTTAATAATCAAACTCCTTAAAGTCAAGGATATATAAAGGATCCAGCCAGGTGTGGTGGCTCACACCTCTAATCTGAGCACCTTGAAAGGCCAAGGTGGGAGGATTGCTTGAGGTCAGGAGTTCAAGACCAGCCTGGGCAACACAGTGAGACCCTGTCTCAATTTTTTTTTTCTGTTCAGTTCTCTTGTTATTCATTCTTTTTTTTTTTTTAATTTTACTTTAAGTTCTGGGATACATGTGCAGAATGTGCAGGTTTGTTACATAGGTATACATGTGCCATGGTGGCTTGCTGCACCTATCAACCTGTTATCTAGGTTTTAAGCCCCACATGCATTAGGTATTTGTCCTAATGCTCTCCCTCCCCTTGCCCCCCATCCCCCGCTGTCTCAACTTTTAAAATAAAAAGGAAAGGATCCTAAAACACCAAGAGAAAAGGAACAACATGTAATGGAGCTCCAATATGTTTGGCAGGGCAGCAGACTTTTCAGTGGAAACCTTACAGGGCAGGAGAGAATAATATGACATATTTGAAGTGCTGAAGGAAAAAAACTTTTACCCTAGAATAGTATATCTAGCAAAAATATCCTTCACACATGAAGGAGAATTAAACACTTTCCCAGGCAAACAAAAGCTGAGGAATTTCATCAATACCAGACCTGTCCTACAAGAAATGCTTCAGTCTAAAAGAAAAGAACATTAATGAGCAGCAAAAAATGATCCAAATGTACAAAACTTACTGGTAATTGTAACTACACAGAAAAACACAGATGAAACAATCAAAAATAATAACTCCAACAACTTTTCAAGACATAGTACAATAAGAAATAGAAACAACAACAAAGTTAAAAAGCAGGGTATTGGTGGATCACTTGAGGCCAAGAGTTTGAGACCAGACTGGTCAACATGGTGAAACCCTGTCTCCACTAAAAATACAAAAATTGACTGGCTGGTGCATGCCTGTAGTCCCAGCTACTTAGGAGGGTGTGGCATGAGAATTGCTTGAACCCAGGAGGCAGAGGTTGCAGTGAGCCAAGACTACGCCACTGCACTCCAGTCTGGGTGACAGAGCGAGACTCTATCTCAAAAATAAATAAATAAATAAATAAATAAATAAATAAATAAATAAATAAATAAAGTGGGGGTATGAAGTTAAAATACAGAGTTTTTGTTAGTTTTCCCTTTGCATGTTTATTAGTTTATTTATGCAATCAGTGTTATAATCAGTTTAAAATAATGTTATAAGATATTATTTGCAAGTCTCATAGTAACTTAAAATCAGAAAAACATACAATAGATACACAAAAAACAGGAAGCAAGAAATTAAAACATACAACCAGAGGAAATCATTTTCAATAAGAGGAAGACAGAAAGAAGGGAAAAAAGGAAGACAATACCACAAAACAACCAGAAAACAAATTTTTTAAAAATGACAGGAGTAAGTCTTTATTATGGACTTAGTATTTTACTATGTTATTATCCATAATAACATTGAATGTGAATGGACTAAACTCTTCAATCAAAAGACATGGAGTGGCTGAATCAATAAAAAAACAAGACCCAGTGATTTGTTGCCTACAAAAAAACACACTTCACCTATAAAGACACATATGGGCTGAAAATAAATGGATGGGAAAAGATACTCCATGCAAATGGAAACCAAAAAAGAGCAGGAGTTGGCTGGGTGCAGTGGCTCAAGCCTGTAATCCCAGCACTTTGGGAGGCCGAGGAGGGTGGATCACCTGATGTCATGAGTTCAAGACTAGCCTGGCCAACATGGTGAAACCCCACCTCTACTAAAAATACAAAAATTAGCCAGGCATGGTGGCAGGTGCCTATAATTCCAGATACTTGGGAGGTTGAGGCAGGAGAATCACTTGAACACAGGAGGTGGAGGTTGCAGTGAGAAGAGATTGTGCCATTGCACTCTAGCCTGGGCAACAAGAGCAAAACTCTGTCTCAAAAAAAATAAATAAATAAAAGAGTAGGAGTAGCTATCCTTATATCAGACAAAATAGATTTGAAGACAAAAACTGTAAAAAGAGACAAAGAAGGTCATTATATAATAATGAAGGGGCCAATTCAGCAAGAGATATGGCAATTGTAAATATATATTCACCCAATACTGGGGCACCCAGATATATAAACAAATATGATTAGAGCTAAAGAGAGAGATAGATCCCAGTATAATAATAGCTGGAGACTTTAACACCCCACTTTCAGCATTAAACAAATCATCCAGACAGAAAATCAACAAAGAAAAATCAGACTTAATATGCACTATAGACCAAATGGACCTCTAATGGATATTTATAGAACATTTTACCCACTGGCTGCAGAAGATACATTCTTCTCCTCAGCACATGGATCATTCTCAAGGATAGATCATTTGTTAGGCCATAAAACAACTCTTAAAACTTAAAAAAATTGAAATAATATCAAGTATCTTCTCTGAGCACAATGGAATAAAACTAGAACTCAATAACAAGAGAAAATTTGGAAATTATATAAACAGATGGAAATTAAATAATATGTTCCTAAATGACCAGTGGGTCAATGAAAAAAATAACAAGGAAATTATTATAAAATTTGAAACAAATGATAATGGAAACACAACATACCAAAACCTATAGGAAACAGTGAAAGCAATACTAACGGGGAAGTTTATAGCTATTAGTGCCTACATCAAAAAAGTAGAAAAATTTCAGATAACCTAATGATGCATCTTAAAGAACCATAAAAGCGAAACAAAACAAAACCCAAAGTTAGTAGAAGAAAAGAAATAATAGAGTTCAGAGCAGAAATAAGTGAAATTGAAATGTAAAAAATACATAAGATCAATGAAATAAAAAGTTGACTTTTTGAAAAGATAAACAAAATTGACAAACCTTTAGCCAGGCTAAGAAAAAAGAGAGAAGACTCACATAAAATCAGAGATGAAAAAGGAGACATTTCAACCAACACCACAGAAATTCAAAAGATCATTAGAGGCTACTAGGGGCAACTATATGCCAATAAATGGGAAAACCTAGGAGAAATGGATAAATTCCTAGACACAAACAACTTACCAACACTGAATCATGAAGAAATCCAAAACCTGAACAGTTCAGTAACAAGTAATGAGATCAAAGCCATAATAAAAGCCTCCCAGCAAAGAAAAGCCCAGGACCTGATAGCGTCACTGCTGAATTTTACCAAACATTTAAAGAAGAACTAATACCAATCCTACTCAAACTATTCTGAAAAATAGAGGAGGAGGGAATACTTCCAAAGTCATTCTACAAGGGCAGTATTACCCTGACACCAAAACCAGACAAAGACACATCAAAAACAGAAAACCACAGGCCAGTGTTCCTGATGAACATTACCGGAAATGTCATTAACAAAATACTAGCAAACCAAATTCAACAATGCATTGAAAAGATCATTCATCATGAACAAGTAGAATTTATCCCAGGGATACAAGGATGGTTCAACATATGCAAATCAATCAATGTGATATATCATATCAACAGAATGAAGGACCAAATCATGTGATCATTTCAATTAATGATAAGCATTTGATAAAATTTAACATCCCTTCATGATAAAAACCCTCAAAATACTGCATATAGAAGGAACATGCCTCAACATAATAAAAGCCATGTACAACAAAACCACAGCTAGTATCATACTGAATGGGGAAAAACAAAAAGCCTTTCCTCTAGATCTGGAACATGACAAAGATGCCTGTTTTCACCATTGTACTGGAAGTCCTAGCTACAGCATCCAGGTAAGAGTAAGAAACAAAGGGCAAAAACATCAAATTATCCTTGTTTGCAGATGATATGATTCTATATTTGGAAAAACCTAGAAACTTCACCAAAAAACTATTAGAGCTAATAAACAAATTTAGTAGTGGTAAGATACAAAATCAACATATGAAAATCAGTAGCAATTCTATATGTAATAACAATCTGAAAAAGAAATCAAGAAAGTAATCCCGCTGATAACAGCTACAAGTAAAATTAAATACCTAGGAATTAACCAGACAAGTGAAAGATCTCTATGATAAAAATTATGAAACATTGATGAAAGAAATTGAAGAGGACACAAAAAATAAAAATATATTCCATGCTCATGTATCGAAAAGCTCCATGTTGTTAAAATGTCTATACTACCCAAAGCAATATACAGAATCAACATAATACCTATCAAAACACCAATGACATTCTTCACAGAAATAGAAAAAACAATCCTAAAATGTATATGGAACTACAAAAGGAACAGAATAGCCAAAGCTATCCTGAGCAAAAGAACAAAACTAGAGGAATCACATTACCTGACTTCAAATTGTACTACAGAGGTACAGTAACCAAAACAGCATGGTACTGGCATAAAAACAGACACATGGATCAATGGAACAGAATAAACTCAGAAACAAATCCATGCATCTACAGCGAACTCATTTTTGACACAGGTGCCAAGAAAATACGTTGGAGAAAAGACAGTCTCTTCAATAAATGCTGCTGGAAAAACTGGAAATCCATATGCAGAAGAATGAAACTAGATCCATATCTCTCACCATATACAAAAGTCAATCGATTGGGTCTAGTTTTTAAATTTTGATTTCAAAATGTATTAAAGACTTAAATATAAGACGTCAAACCATGAAACTACATTGGGGAAACTCTCCAGGACATTGGACTGGCCAAAAATGTATGGAGTAATACTCTACAAGTACAGTCAACCAAAGCAAAAAAAGATAAATGGGATCACACTAAGTTAAAAAGCTTCCGCACGCAAAGGAAACAATCAACAAAGTGAAGAGACAACCCACAAATGGAAAAAATGTTTACAAACGATCTCTCTGACAAGAAATTAATATTTGCAAACTATTCATCTGACAAGAGCTCTGGAATATATTAGGAGCACTCTATAGGAAACAAATCAAATAATCTGATTTATAAATGGGCAAAATACCTGAACTGATATTTGTCAAAAGAAGACATACCAATGGCAAACAGGTCTAAGAAAAGGTGCTCAACATAAGTGATCATCAGATAAATGAAAACCTATCTGAATGAAAATGAAAATGAAAATGAAAATCACTACAATGAGATATCGTCTTGCCCCAGTTAAAATAGTTTTTATCCAAAAGACAGGCAATAGAAATAGCTGGCAAGGATGTGGAGAAAAAGGAACCCTTGTACACTGTTGAGGGAATGTAAATTAGTAAACCACTATGGAGAATAGTTTGGAGGTTTCCCAAAAAACTAAAAATAGAACTACCATATGACCCAGCAATCCCACTCCTAGATATACAGCCAAAAGAAAAGAAGTCAGTATATCAAAGAGGTACCTGTACTCCCGTTTATTGCAGTGCTATTCACAATAGCCAAGATTTGGAACCAACCTAAGTGTCCATCAGCAGATGACTTGATAAAGCAAATATGGTACATACACACAACAGAGTACTAATCACCCATAAAAAACGATGAGGTTCTGTCATTTGCAACAACATGGTTGTAACTGGAAGTCATTATGTTAAGTGAAATAAGCCATGCATAGAAATACAAACTTTGTATGTTCTCACTCATTTGTGGGAGCTAAAAATGAAAACAATTGAACTCATGGAGAGAGAGAGAGTAGAATAATGGTTACCAGAGGCTGGGAGGGGTAGTTGGAGGGTTGGGGGGAAGTAGGATTGGTTAATAGGTAAAAAAATAGAAGGAATGAATGAAATCTAGTATTCGATAGCACTTCAGAGTGACTATAGTCAATAATAGTTTAATTGTATATTTAAAAGTAACTTAAAAAGCATAACTGGATTGTTTGTAAGACAAAGGATAAATGCTTGAAGTGATGGATACCCCATTTATCCTGATGTGATTATTACACATTGTATGCCTGTATAAAAATATCTCATATATTCCATAAATATATACACTTACAATGTACCCACAAAAATAAAAAATGAAGAATTCCCTTTTCTCTGCATCCTCATCAGCATTAATTTTTTTCTTTTTGATAATAGGCATTCTAACTGGGATGAGATGATACCTCATTTTGGTTTTGATATGCATTTCTCTGACAGTGATGTTGAGCATTTTTTTTGTATATTTGTTGTATATTTTTTGTATATTTGAGAAATGTCTGTTCAGATCATTTGCTCATTTTTAATTGGATTGTTGTTGTTTGCTGTTGAGATGTTTGAGTTCCTTGTATGTTGCTTTTAATTTTAATTATGATTATTAATATTTTAATTTTATTATTTTTAGAGACAGGGTCTTGCTCTGTTGCCCAAGCTGGAGTGTGGTAGAGCAATCATAGCTCACTCTAACCTTGAACTCCTGGACTCAAGCAATCTTCCTGCCTCAGCCACCCAATAGCAGCTGGGATTGCAGGTGTGTGCCATTGTGCTCAGCCTGTATAATCTGGATATAAATCACCTGTTAGATGAATAGTTTGTTAATATTTTTACCCATTCTGTTGGTTGTCTATTCACTCTGTTGATTATTTCCTTGCTGTGCAGAAGCTTTTCAGTTTGGTATAATCTCATTTGTTTATTTTTGCTCTTGTTGCCTGTGCTTTTGAGGTCTTATTCATAAAACGTATTACCAGACCAATGTCCTGAAGCATTTCTCTTATGTTTTTTTCTGGTAGTTTTAAAGTTTTTGGTCTTACTCTTCACCCTGTAATTAATTTTGAGTTGATCTCTTTCTCTCTTTCTTTCTCAAAGTTTCGCTCTTGTTGCCCAGGCTGGAGGGCAGTGGCATGATCTCAGCTCACTGCAACCTCTGCCTCCCAGGTTCAAGTGATTCTTGTGCCTCAGCCTCCTGAGTAGCTGGGATGATAGCAGTGCACCACCACGCCTGGCTAATTTTGTATTTTTAGTAGAGATGGGGTTTTGCCATGTTGGTCAGGCTGGTCCCGAACTCCCGACCTCAGGTGATCCAACCACCTTGGCCTCCCGAAGTGCTGGGATTACAGGTGTGAGCCACTGTGCCTGGCCCGATTTTTTTGTATGGTGAGTATTCATTCTTCTGCATATGGATATTCTATTTTGCCACTTAAGAAGAGAGTGTTTTTCCCCCAGAGTATGTTCCTGGTGCTTTTGTTGAAAATCAGTTGGCTGTAAATTCATGGATTTATTTCTTGGTTCTCTAGTCTGTTCCATTGGTCTATGTGTCACCTTTATGGTAGTGCCATGCTGTTTTGCCTACTAGAGCTTTGTAGTATATTTTGAAGTCAAGCAGTGTGATGCCTCCAGCTTTGTTCTTTTTGCTCAGGATTGATTTTGGCTATTCGAGGTCTTCTATGGTTGCATATAAATTTTAAGGGTTTTTTTTCTATTTCTGTGAAGAATGTCATTGGTATTTTCATAGGGATTGCATTGACTCTGTAGATCACTCTGGGTACAATGGTCATTTTAAGAATATTAATTCATCCAGTCTGTGAGCATGGAATGTCTTCTTATTTGCTTTTATCCTCTTCAGATTCCTTCATCAGTGTTTTTCTTTTCTTTTCTTTTCTTTTTTGAGATGGAGTCTTGCTCTGTCACCCAGGCTGCAGTGCAGTGGCGTGACTTGGCTCACTGCAACCTCAACCCCCAGGTTCAAGCAATTCTCCTGCCTCAGCTTCCTGAGTAGCTGGGATTACAGGCACCCGCCACCACACTTAGGCACTTTTTGTATTTTTAGCAGAGACAGCGTTTCACCATGTTGGCCAGGCTGGTCTTGAACTCCTGACCTCATGAGCCACCCACTTCGGTCTCCCAAAGTGCTGGGATTACAGGTGTGAGCCACTGCACCCTGCCCCTCAGTGTTTTTCATAGATTTCTTTGTAGAGATCCTACACTTCTTTGGTTAAATTTATTTCTAGTTTTTTTTTTTTTGTAGCTTTTGTAAATGTGATTGCTTTCCTGATTTCTTTTTCAGCTAGTTTGGTGTTCACATATAGAAATGCTACTGATTTTGTATGTTGATTTTGTATCCTGCAACTTTGCTGAATGTGTTTATCATCTCTAACATTTTTGGCAGGGTATAGTTTGGGGTTTTCTATGTATAATATGTCATGTGCAAACAGGGATAATCTCCTTTGGAGATTTCATATTTCCTTGCTTTTTCATGTTTGATGTGTCCCTATGTTGAGTTCTACGAATCTGGTGGAACAGTCACCTTTTCTCATTTTATGGGTTAGATTTCATAGGGAAAGGCTTATTCATATGGATGGGTCTTGGGGTGTTGGTTTGGTGAAGTGCATTGGCTTTGGTTCTAGGTGGATGCAAAAGTGTAGTCTCTATATAGTTTCGTCAGTTGTAATCCATGCTAGTGATGTTTGCATGTGTCTCAGTGGGCTAGGCTGTAATAGTTTATGGAAGTGGTGGTGCTCCTTTGCTGGGGGTAGACTTGCTGGGCTGTTTCTCAGGTTAGTGGTGCATATATATGCACATGGTGTGTTGGCCAGTTTGGGGTCTGGCTTGCTGGGATTAGGGCCATAGGGCTATTACTCTGGTTAGGAGAACATGTGTGGTTGCTCAGTCTGCCTTGGGGTGTACCTGGCAGGGGTGGTCCATGGGCTATTTCTCAGGACTGGGACATAGCCATATTGTTTCTTAGCTGGTTTTGGTGTATGTCTGCTGAGGGCAGCCCACAGGGCTATTTCTCAGGTCCAAGATGACATCGCAAGTCTGCTTGGCTGGCTTGGGGATATGTTTGCTGAGTCTCCCATGGGGCTATTCATCAGGCCAGGAGCATAGGCACAAGGCTGCTCAGCTGGCCTGGGTGCATCTTTGCCAAGAGTAGCCCTGCAGGGATGTTTCTCAGACCTTGATAGCAGGCATGGAGCCTTGGGCAGGAACAGGGTAACGGACATGGGGCCTGTTTCTCAGGCTCTGGGTGTGGACGTGTAGCTACTCCACCAGCCTGTGGGCATATCAGTTGTTTGGTGGTTTGGGGACAGCTCCTGCTTGGGGCAGGACACACAGTGGCTTGGCTGGCTTAAGGGCGGGTTCACCAGCTTAGGAGTGGGTTTGCCCTAGGTGAACTGGCAGACTGTTCCTCTGGCTGGAAGTATAGGCAGCAGGGATTGCTTTCCCTGCTGTGCAGGACCCAAGTCACAGCTGATCCTGGTCCCAGGTTCCATGCACCTGGGATTGCGGCATTCAGCAACCCTTGTGGGCTTGACATAATGAAGATGGAGCCACAGTGCTGGGGAGGTGCAGTGGCTACTGGCCCCCAGAGCAGGGTACACTTCAGAGGTGGCTTTTGTCTCAAGATGGCATCACGCTGCAGCAGCTTGGCTCACAGGGGATTGGCGGGGGATAGGCAGTACACATCTTGCTCTTCTAATGCAGGGCAATGTAGCTGTGTGAATATTAGGCAGCTCTCTATACTGGGCTCAGGACTTGTGAGGACTGTGGGATTCTCCTGTAGTAAGGACTGTGGGTGTTTGCAGTGGCAGCAGGCACTGGGGAGGATCTTCTGCTTACCTTTTCCCCTCAAAGGGAAGTCCTACCTGATTCTAGGCTAACCCAATCTGGCGAGGGAGGTGGGGCTTCAGAGGCTGGGTGCCTCCTCACTGCTCCCGTCACCACAGGCGCATCTCCACTCCCCCACTGCACTCCACCGCTCTCCCCTCAATACTGCAGTCAAATCTTAGCTGTTTATTCATTGCCTTGTTCCTTTTTGTAGTGGACACAAATGCCAGGTGTTTCTAATCAGCCATCTTGCTGCTGTCACTGAGCTGCCCTGTAAGTATTATTAGGCCTAAAACATGCTGCCTTGATATCTTAGAACCTTAAAGGACTCCAAAGGCCTAACCATGAGTTCACCAGCTCTGCCCAGTTATGTTCACCCCCACTCACTAGTTTCTCTATCAGCTGGACCAGCTGTACCCAATCCATAGAATTGTTCAAACAAGCCAATCACATCCTCCCTGAGGCACCAACACCTCATCATGTTATTATAAAACCTGCCTCCTATGGCCCTTGTTTTTTCCCTCTTTTCCTGAGTGCAACCTCATGCGGCCCTGCATAGTGTGCGGAGTCCTCCTTCTGTGAGTGGTGAATGTACATGTGAGTAGTAAAATGCTGTCAATCTCTTCTGTCCAGTGTTGGGTGTAGGGTGTTCAGCCATCCCCAGAATCCTAAAGTGGGACCCTCTTCCTCGCCAATAAGTTGAAAAAGAGGTGAGCAGAGCACCATATTACCTATCCAAACAGCTCCGGCTCCCTGCAGCTGCTGCTGCCCTCTATGTGGCTGTAACAGTTCTATCACCCGTTAGCCTGACCTCTTGCCCCCAGCAGAATCACCATGTTCTGCAAATCCTGCACCTGCTCCTGCCGGTGCACTACTTACCTCACAGATAACCTACAGCCACTGCCCTCCCACCAAATCATTAAAACCATCTGCTGCAAACTCCTCTCCAGCAACTTGCCTGGCCTTTGTTCCTCTGCCTCAGAGCTCAGCCAAGGGCTGAGCCAAAAATAGTCTCATGTCTTTTTGCAGGGTAGGCCTTTAGCATAGGTTTATTTACTGGTTTGGGACTCATTGATGAAGGGTGCTTGTGCGGACAGGACAGTGGGATCAGTGTCTTCCTGAACAAGGGCGCATTCATGTAATGATCACAGCTAAGCCTGGCATTTCTCACGATGTGGGCATGGATCATCACATTTGCCCTTACTGCCTCGTGGTTGAGAGCGAACAGCAAACGACGGGGATGAAGTACACGAAAAGCCTCTGTGGACGCTGGAGGGCTGCACAACTATCAAGGATTCTTCTTCATTTGTTTCTAGAAAACTTGCTTTAAGCCAGACTCTGCTTTCATTATAATGCTGCAGAGCCACAATGATTGCAATAGAATTTCTTCAAGGAACTGTTCATGGCTACCAATTCATACGTACCCATGAGTCCTATCGCCTTGTAAAGAAAAATGTGACTGACATGCCACTGGTGTGAGACTTGTCTCTCCACATAAGCCTTATGAAAGAGCTTCGCTGTGTCTCATACTCAGAAAATACTAGTGAACATCTCAAATATACCAAGGTGCCGGGGACAGAGGTGCATAGTTGCTGCGACTCAGCGGCAACACTTTTACAGGTGAGCACCTTTGTTAATGCCCAAGAGCTAGAATTTCCAAGAAGTTGGGCAGGAAGCCCCAGAGTAGTGTCAGGCAGCAAAACCACCGGAGCTCACACAGCCGGTTACCGCCCGGTGCAGAAGCGTGGCGAGTAGCGGTAGACGGCAGCCAGAGACACTAGAGGGCAGCACGCCCCCACCCAATACTCCTAGTCCTGCGACGTCTCGGCCCCGCCAGGGGTCCTGGGCCAAACGCGGGGGCTCACGCCTGAAAGCCTAACACTTTGTGAGGCCGAGGTGGGAGACTTGATTCAGCCCAGAAGGTCAAGACCAGCCTGGGCAACATGGCGAAAACTGGTCTTTACAAAAATTACAAAAATCAGCCGGGTGTAGTGGCGAGCGCCTGTAGTCCCAGCTACACGGGAGGCTGAGGTGGGAGGATTGCTTCAGCCCAGGAGGTAGAGGCTGCAGTGAGCCGTGATCGCGCCACTGCACTCTAGCCTGGGTGACAGAGTGAAACTCCGTGTCAAAAAAAAAAAAAAGTAATCTGCTCCAGTGCTTCTCAATCCTGCCCTTACATCAGAATCTCTGGGAGGCTTGTTAAAAACAGGACTAGCTGTAGAATATGTGGTGCTTGTAAAATGAAAATGTAGGCCTTTTGTTCAAAAAGTAGGGAAAAAATGCCATTAAGAGTATTAAAATATAATTCTTTTCCCTTTTTGCTTTGGTCTCTCTCCTCTCTCAACTTCTGGTGTTTTTTGTTATTTAATGTTGTTCTAAATAAAGGAAAATTGAAACTTTAAATAATCGGCATGAATTTTACTATTCATCTTTATATTGCACATTGTCAGTTTTTTTTAATAGATGGGGTATGATTTATTCATTCATCCAACAAATTTTGAGCCCTTCTGTATGCCAGACACTATTCTTGATACTAGGAGTACAGAAAAGAACATACTGATATAGAGCTTACATTAAAGAAAGAGAGCAGATGATAAATAAATGGATAAATACCGTAGTGTCAGGGAGTGATAAATGCTATGAAGAAAGATGAAGTACCTTCTCAAATCTCTGAGACTTGGTAAGGGGAAAAAGATGTAGAACATATATGGGACACTTACTAGAATTTTTTAAAGACTTTGTGGTTGGTTGCTATTAGAGACTGGTGGTCAGGGTATGGCATGGTAGAGAGAGAGCCCTACTCATACTCTTTTGTGCTGTTTGATTTTTTTAAATTTTATTATTATTATACGTTAAGTTTTAGGGTACATGTGCACAATGTGCAGGTTAGTTACATATGTATACATGTGCCATGCTGGTGTGCTGCACCCATTAACTCGTCATTTAGCATTAGGTATATCTCCTAATGCTATCCCTCCCCACTCCCCCTACCCCACAACAGTCCTCAGAGTGTGATGCTCCCCTTCCTGTGTCCATGTGTTCTCATTGCTCAATTCCCACCTATGAGTGAGAATATGCGGTGTTTGGTTTTTTGTTCTTGCGATAGTTTACTGAGAATGGTGATTTCCAATTTCATCCATGTCCCTACAAAGGACATGAACTCATCATTTTTTATGGCTGCATAGTATTCCATGGTGTATATGTGCCACATTTTCTTAATCCAGTCTATCATTGTTGGACATTTGGGTTGGTTCCGAGTCTTTGCTATTGTGAATAGTGCTGCAATAAACATACGTGTGCATGTGTCTTTATAGCAGCATGATTTATAGTCATTTGGGTATATACCCAGTAATGGGATGGCTGGGTCAAATGGTATTTCCAGTTCTAGATCCCTGAGGAATCACCACACTGACTTCCACAATGATTGAACTAGTTTACAGTCCCACCAACAGTGTAAAAGTGTTCCTATTTCTCCACATCCTCTCCAGCACCTGTTGTTTCCTGACTTTTTAATGATTGCCATTCTAACTGGTGTGAGATGGTAGCTCATTGTGGTTTTGATTTGCATTTCTCTGATGGTCAGTGATGGTGAGCATTTTTTCATGTGTTTTTTGGCTGCATAAATGTCTTCTTTTGAGAAGTGTCTGTTCATGTCATTTGCCCACTTTTTGATGGGGTTGTTTGTTTTTTTCTTGTAAATTTGTTTGAGTTCATTGTAGATTCTGGATATTAGCCCTTTGTCAGATGAGTAGGTTGCAAAAATTTTCTCCCATTTTGTAGGTTGCCTGTTCACTCTGATGGTAGTTTCTTTTGCTGTGCAGAAGCTCTTTAGTTTAATTAGATCCCATTTGTCGATTTTGGCTTTTGTTGCCATTGCTTTTGGTGTTTTAGACATGAAGACATTGCCCATGCCTATGTCTTGAATGGTATTGCCTAGGTTTTCTTCTAGGGTTTTTATGGTTTTAGGTCTAACGTTTAAGTCTTTAATCCATCTCGAATTAATTTTGGTATAAGGTGTAAGGAAGGGATCCAGTTTCAGCTTTCTACATATGGCTAGCCAGTTTTCCTAGCACCATTTATTAAATAGGGAATCCTTTCCCCATTGCTTGTTTTTCTCAGGTTTGTCAAAGATCAGATAGTTGTAGATATGTGGCATTATTTCTGAGGGCTCTGTTCTGTTCCATTGATCTATATCTCTGTTTTGGTACCAGTACCATGCTGTTTTGGTTACTGTAGCCTTGTAGTATAGTTTGAAGTCAGGTAGCATGATGCCTCCAGCTTTGTTCTTTTGGCTTAGGATTGACTTGGTGATGCGGGCTCTTTTTTGGTTCCATATGAACTTTAAAGTAGTTTTTTCCAATTCTGTGAAGAAAGTCATTGGTAGCTTGATGGGGATGGCATTGAATCTATGAATTACCTTGGGAAGTATGGCCATTTTCATGACATTGATTCTTCCTACCCATGAGCATGGAATGTTCTTCCATTTGTTTGTATCCTCTTTTATTTCATTGAGCAGTGGTTGTAGTTCTCCCTGAAGAGGTCCTTCACATCCCTTGTAAGTTAGATTCCTAGGTATTTTATTCTCTTTGAAGCAATTGTGAATGGGAGTTCACTCATGATTTGGCTCTCTGTTTGTCTGTTATTGGTATACAAGAATGCTTGTGATTTTTGTACATTGATTTTGTATCGTGAGACTTTGCTGAAGTTGCTTATCAGCTTAAGGAGATTTTGGGCTGAGACAATGGGGTTTTCTAGATATACAATCATGTCATCTGCAAACAGGGACAATTGGACTTCCTCTTTTCCTAATTGAATACCCTTTATTTCCTTCTCCTGCCTAATTGCCCTGGCCAGAACTTCCAACACTATGTTGAATAGGAGTGGTGAGAGAGGGCATCCCTGTCTTGTGCCAGTTTTCAAAGGGAGTGCTTCCAGTTTTTGCCCATTCAGTATGATATTGGCTGTGGGTTTGTCATAAATAGCTCTTATTATTTTGAGATAAGTCCCATCAATACCTAATTTGTTGAGAGTTTTTAGCACGAAGGGTTGTTGAATTTTGTCAAAGGCCTTTTCTGCATCTATTGAGATAATCATGTGGTTTTTGTCTTTGATTCTGTTTATATGCTGGATTACATTTATTGATTTGCGTATATTGAACTAGCCTTGCATCCCAGGGATGAAGCCCACTTGATCATGGTGGATAAGCTTTTTGATGTGCTGCTGGATTCGGTTTGCCAGTATTTTATTGAGGATTTTTGCATCAATGTTCATCAAGGATATTGATCTAAAATTCTCTTTTTTGGTTGTGTCTCTGCCCGGCTTTGGTATCAGGATGATGCTGGCCTCATAAAATGAATTAGGGAGGATTCCCTCTTTTTCTGTTGATTGGAATAGTTTCAGAAGGAATGGTACCAGTTCCTCCTTGTACCTCTGGTAGAATTCGGCTGTGAATCCATCTGGTCCTGGACTCTTTTTGGTTGGTAAGCTATTGATTATTGCCACAATTTCAGAGCCTGTTATTGGTCTATTCAGAGAGTCAACTTCTTCCTAGTTTAGCCTTGGGAGGGTGTATGTGTCAAGGAATTTATTCATTTCTTCTTGATTTTCTAGTTTATTTGCGTAGAGGTGTTTGTAGTATTCTCTGATGGTAGTTTGTATTTCTGTGGGATCGGTGGTGATATCCCCTTTATCATTTTTTATTGCGTCTATTTGATTCTTCTCTCTTTTCTTCTTTATTAGTCTTGCTAGCGGTCTATCAATTTTGTTAATCCTTTCAAAAAACCAGCTCCTGGATTCATTAATTTTTTGAAGGGTTTTTTGTGTCTCTATTTCCTTCAGTTCTGCTCTGATTTTAGTTATTTCTTGCCTTCTGCTAGCTTTTGAATGTGTTTGCTCTTGCTTTTTCTAGTTCTTTTAATTGTGATGTTAGGGTGTCCATTTTGGATCTTTCCTGCTTTCTCTTGTGGGCATTTAGTGCTATAAATTTCCCTCTACACACTGCTTTGAATGTGTCCCAGAGATTCTGGTATGTTGTGTCTTTGTTCTCATTGGTTTCAAAGAACATCTTTATTTCTGCCTTCATTTCGTTATGTACCCAGTAGTCATTCAGGAGCAGGTTGTTCAGTTTCCATGTAGTTGAGAGGTTTTAAGTGAGTTTCTTAATCGTGAGTTCTAGTTTGATTGCACTGTGGTCTGAGAGACAGTTTGTTATAATTTCTGTTCTTTTACATTTGCTGAGGAGAGCTTTACTTCCAACTATGTGGTCAATTTTGGAATAGGTGTGGTGTGGTGCTGAAAAAAATGTATATTCTGTTGATTTGGGGTGGAGAGTTCTGTAGATGTCTATTAAGTCCGCTTGGTGCAGAGCTGAGTTCAATTCCTGGGTATCCTTGTTAACTTTCTGTCCCGTTGATCTGTCTAATGTTGACAGTGGGGTGTTAAAGTCTCCCATTATTATTGTGTGGGCGTCTAAGTCTCTTTGTAGGTCACTCAGGACTTGCTTTATGAATCTGGGTGCTCCTGTATTGGGTGCCTATATATTTAGGATAGTTAGCTCTTCTTGTTGAATTGATCCCTTTCCCATTATGTAATGGCCTTCTTTGTCTCTTTTGATCTTTGTTGGTTTAAAGTCTGTTTTATCAGAGACTAGGATTGCAACCCCTGCCTTTTTTTGTTTTCCATCTGCTTGGTAGATCTTCCTCCATCCTTTTATTTTGAGCCTATGTGTGTCTCTGCACGTGAGATGGGTTTCCTGAATACAGCACACTGATGGGTCTTGACTCTTTATCCAATTTGCCAGTCTGTGTCTTTTAATTGGAGCATTTAGCCCATTTACATTTAAAGTTAATATTGTTATGTGTGAATTTGAACCTGTTGTTATGATGTTAGCTGGTTATTTTGCTCGTTAGTTGATGCAGTTTCTTCCTAGCATCGATGGTCTTTACAATTTGGCATGATTTTGCAGTGGCTGGTACTGGTTGTTCCTTTCCATGTTTAGTGCTTCCTTCAGGAGCTCTTTTAGGGCATGCCTGGTGGTGACAAAATCTCTCAGCATTTGCTTGTCTGTAAAGTATTTTATTTCTCCTTCACTTATGAAGCTTAGTTTGGCTGGATATGAAATTCTGGGTTGAAAATTCTTTTCTTTAAGAATGTTGAATATTGGCCCCCACTCTCTTCTGGCTTGTAGAGTTTCTGCTGAGAGATCCGCTGTTAGTCTGATGGGCTTCCCTTTGTGGGTAACCTGACCTTTCTCTCTGGCTACCCTTAATATTTTTTCCTTCATTTCAACTTTGGTGAATCTGACAATTATATGTCTTAGAGTTGCTCTTCTCGAATGGTATCTTTGTGGTGTTCTCTGTATTTCCTGAATCTGAATGTTGGCCTGCCTTGCTAGATTGGAGAAGTTCTCCTGGATAATATCTTGCAGAGTGTTTTCCAACTTGGTTCCATTCTCCCCGTCACTTTCAGGTACACCAATCAGACATAGATTTGGTCTTTTCACATAGTCCCATATTTCTTGGAGGCTTTATTAGTTTCTTTTTATTCTTTTTTCTCTAAACTTCCCTTCTCGCTTCATTTCATTCATTTCATCTTCCATCACTGATACCTTTTCTTCCAGATGGTCTCATCAGCTCCTGAGGCTTCTGCATTCTTCACATAGTTCTCGAGCCTTGGCTTTCAGCTCCATCAGCTCCTTTAAGCACTTCTCTGTATTGGTTATTCTAGTTATACATTCGTCTAAATTTTTTGCAAAGTTTTTAACTCTTTGCCTTTGGTTTGAATTTCCTCCTGTAGCTCGGAGTAGTTTGAGCGTCTGAAGCCTTCTTCTCTCAACTCGTCAAAGTCATTCTCCGTCCAGCTTTGTTCCGTTGCTGGTGAGGAGCTGCATTCCTTTGGAGGAGGAGAGGTGCTCTGCTTTTTAGAGTTTCCAGTTTTTCTGCTCTGTTTTTTTCCCCATCTTTGCGGTTTTATCTACTTTTGGTCTTTGATGATGGTGATGTACAGATGGGTTTTTGGTGTGGATGTCCTTTCTGTTCGTTAGTTTTCCTTCTAACAGACAGGACCCTCAGCTGCAGGTCTGTTGGAGTTTGCTAGAGGTCCACTCCAGACCCTGTTTGCCTGTGTATCAGCAGTGGTGGCTGCAGATCAGTGGATTTTCGTGAACCGCGAATGCTGCTGTCTGATCGTTCCTCTGGAAGTTTTGTCTCAGAGGAGTACCCGGCCATGTGAGGTGTCAGTCTGCCCCTACTGGGGGGTGTCTCCCAGTTAGGCTGCTCGGGGGTCAGGGGTCAGGGACCCACTTGAGGAGGCAGTCTGCCCGTTCTCAGATCTCCAGCTGCATGCTGGCAGAACCACTGCTCTCTTCAAAGCTGTCAGACAAGGACATTTAAGTCTGCAGAGGTTACTGCTAACTTTTTGTTTGTCCGTGCCCTTCCCCCAGAGGTGGAGCCCACAGAGGCATGCAGGCCTCCTTGAGCTGTGGTGGGCTCCACCCAGTTCGAGCTTCCAGGCTGCTTTGTTTACCTAAGCAAGCCTGGGCAATGGCGGACGCCCCTCCCCCAGCCTCGCTGCTGCCTTGCAGTTTGATCTCAGACTGCTGTGCTAGCAATCAGCGAGACTCCGTGCGCGTAGGACCCTCCAAGCCAGGTGCGGGATATAGTCTTCTGGTGTGCCGTTTTTTAAGCCCGTCGGAAAGGCGCAGTATTAGGGTGGGAGTGACCCAATTTTCCAGGTGCCGTCTGTCACCCCTTTCTTTGACTAGGAAAGGGAACTCCCTGACCCCTTGCGCTTCCGGAGTGAGGCAATGCCTCGCCCTGCTTCGGCTCGCGCATGGTGCGCTGCACCCACTGTCCTGCGCCCACTGTCTGGCACTCCCTAGTGAGATGAACCGGGTACCTCAGATGGAAATGCAGAAATCACCCATCTTCTGCGTCGCTCACGCTGGGAGCTGTAGACCGGAGCTGTTCCTATTCGGCCATCTTGGCTGCCCCCATTGTCAGTTTTAAATGTAAATATCAGAGCACTTCACTTTCATGCGGTATCACTAACATTACAGAATTCATATTCTGGATGCGTGCACATCTACCGACACTATGGAAGTCAGTGGCTTCCATAATATGCTTACCTTGTACTCACTTTGAGTCTTGCTGAACTCAGACATTGGTCCACCAGAATTCTGTGTTCATGGGGCATTGCAAATGCTATATTTGAATGGTGACAGACATATTGCATCTATCTCCTCTGCTCATGCGCATACTACATTATTTCACTGGACATGGCTACAAATGACAAGTTCAAAGACAAAATTAGACTCTGCACTCCCAGAGCTTATTCTCTTTCAGAGGTTATGGGCAATGGGAAACACATTCAGGGATATTTTAGGGCTATCCCATGCAAGCTGTTTAAGAAGCTTGAATCTGGATCCGGCCAAAACCACAGACTACGGCTCAAATATGGGCCTCAGCAAGACCAGAGTCCTTCTTTTCTGGAAAGTTACAGCAAAGGGCACCTTATGCTATTCTGGGGTGTATGTAACTAGCATGGTAGTTGAGTGGTTTCTTTGGAATTAGACCTAGATTTGAATCTTACTTTTACCACTTTTTTTGTGACCTTGGGCAATTTTTTTCCCTTTCTGCATTTCAGACTTTTTAAAAAATCTGTAAAATGGAGCCAATAGTAATATCAACTTCACAGAATGCTTGTAGGATTAAATGGGATGTTGTAAATTAAATTTAGCACTGTGCCTGGCGTACGTTGGTGGCTATAATAGAAGAAAAGCTATGACAAAACACAAACCTAAGGAACACTCTCACTAAAGACTTCTTCTGGCCCCGCTACCTGCTTATCTTGCTCTTCATTGCCTTTGTTTGGTAGAGAGTGGAGTGAGCAACACAACTGGAAAACAGGAAGAAATTGAAAGCATTAAAAAATGGTAAAATGAAAGTAAAACTGTCACTATTGGAAAGTGGTATGACTGTATTCCTGAAAAACCCAAGGTAATCAACTAAAATTTACTACTACTAGTAGGTGGGGGGAGAGAGAGAGAGAGGGAGAGAGAGAGAGAATTCAGTCAGGTAGCAGAATATAAAAATTAATATGCAGAAATAAAAAACTTTTGTGTATACAAATGACAATTAGAAGATATATTGGAGAAGAAGGTCCCCTTTACAATAGCAACACAAGGAATAAATACCCAGAAACAAAATATGTAAAACCTTTTTGAGAAAAAAGGTAAATCATTTTCAAATATATAAATGCAATCCTTTTTTTGGAGACAGAATCTTGCTCTGTCACCCAGGCTGGAGTGCAGTGGCGCAGTCTTGGCTCACTGCAACTTCGCCTCCCAGGTTCAAGTGATTTTCCTGCCTCAGCCTCCCTAGTAGCTGGGATTACAGGCACCCAACACCACGCCTGGCTAATTTTTGTATTTTTACAAAATGCAAAATAGGGTTTCACCATGTTGGCCAGGCTGGTCTTGAACTCCTGACCTCAGGTGATCCGCCTGCCTCGGCCTCCCAAAGTGCTGGGATTACAGGCATGAGCCACCATGCCTGGCCATAAATGCAATCTTGAACAAATAGATATACCATATTCTAAGGGATAGAAAGACTCAACAATTCTTCCCAAGGTAATTTATAAACTAATGTGATCCCAACAAAAATGCCAATAGATTTCTCTGGTTAGGGGGCCCAATTAGACAAGCTGATTCTAAATTTATGGTTGAAGGTAAGCAAAAATATCCAGGAAAACTCTTAAAAGAAAGAACTATGATAGCACTGAGATTAGTGCTGTCAGTTAATAAGAGACTATATAGTCTTAATAATTAAAACAGTATGGTACTTATGCATAAACTGACAGACAAACAGAGCAGAACAAAATATCCAGGAATAGAGCATGTATGTATTAGTATACGAGAGAGGTAGCATCTCAAATCAGTAGAATAAACATATATCTTTTGAATAAATGGTTTTAGGACAACTGGCTTGCCTTCTTGAAAAAGATAGGCAAATTCATAGGTTGTATCATATACTTGGGTTAACTTCAAATTAATAGAGGATTTAATTTGAAAAAATCATATATAAATAGTGCTTACATGAAAATAGTAGAAGAATACATGGAATGATTCTTTTAGAACCTTATTGAGAGGAAAGACTTTTTAGTTAAGACAATGAAACCATAAAATAAAGGATTAATTTATTCTACTACATAGAATAAATATAGTGTGTTTTGCATAGTATAACACACTATAAGCAAAGCCAAAAGACAAACTACAACCTGAAAAAGTTGCAAACCTTATTAGACAAAACACTGATTTGCCTTATATGTAAAGAGTACCCAATGATCCAACAGAAAAATTGGCAAATGACATAAACAGTCCACAGAAAAAGAAATACTAATGACCCCTAAAGACATGAAAAGATGGTCAAACTTATAAGATAGATGCAAATTAAAATCACACCTTTTTTCTCACAGCAGATTGACAAAATTCAAAAGTTTCATGGCACACTCTTTTGGCAAGATGAGGAGCTACTGCAATCTCACACTTCATTGGTGAGAGTGCAAAATAGTACAATTCCTGTGGAGAAAAATTTTAGAAGTATTTATTATTAATTTCAAATATATTTTCCTTTTGACCCAATAATCCCAATTCTGATAATTATTCTCACATTTAAGTCTGTCTTGACAACAGCTTTTCAGAGGACCCAAATTAACACATACCCTTTGTGTGTGAAAGGTGGGAAAAATAAGAATATATTCATATTTGCCTATATTTTATACAAAAAAACACCAGAAAGATATAGAAGAAAAGAAGTTAGGGGAAGCAATAGAAACGGGATGGCGGTATGGGTTAGGTGGAGAAAGGGAAGAGGGCAACACTTTTGAAACCGTGTGAGTGTATTATCTATGCAAAAAAAAATTAAAGTCTCTTAAGGTAACTCTTGGAGAAAGATTTTTAAAATTTATTGTGGCCGGGCATGGTGGCTCATACCTATAATCCCAGCACTTTGGGAGGCTGAAGTGGGTGTATTACTTGAGGTCAGGAGTTAGAGACTGGCCTGACCAACATGGTGAAACCTCGTCTCTACTAAAAATACAAAATTAGCCAAGCATTGTGGCGCATGACTGTAATCCCAGCTACTCGGGAGGCTGAGGCAGGAGAATCACTTGAAACCAGGAGGCAGAGGTTGCAGTGAGCCGAGATTGAGCCAGTGCACTCCAGTGTGGGTGACAAGAGCAAAACTTTGTCTCGAAGTAAATAAATAAATAAATATCTATTGTGAAATACAGTCATGTGTCACTTAGTGACGAGGATACATTCTGACAAATGAGTCACTGGACAATTTCATTGTTGTGCCAGCATCATAGACTGTATTTACACAAACCTAGATGGTATAGCCTACTACATGCTGAGGCTATATATTGCGTAGTCTATTGCTGCTAGGCTATAAATCTATACAGCATGTTACTGTACTGAATACTGCAGGCACTTGTAACAAAATGGTAAGTACTTGTATGCCTGAACATAGAAAAGGTACAGAAAAAATACAGTTTAATCTTACGAGACCACCATTGTGTATGCAGTCCATCATTAACCAAAAAGTTATTATGTGGTATATGACTATAATTATAGACTCATGGAAAATTACAAAGATAGTACAGAGAGGACATATAAGCCTTTTGCTTGGGTTTTCCCCAATGGTTACATTTTATATAACTATAATAAAATAATCAGAACCAGGAAATTTACATTTATATAATGTATGTGATTACTTTATGCCATTTTATCATATGTGTAGATGTGTGTAACCACCACTGCTATCAAGGTACAGAACTATTCCATCATTATAAATAATCAGGAGAAAGATTTTGATTGTACATTCTAGAGAGAAACCTAACAGCTGCGGTGTTAGGAATTTAGGTCTGAACCAGGGCTCGAACCCAGAATGATTTGTTTTAAAGAAAACATTTTGTGGTGCATTTCTCCAAGGGTAAGGTTGCGGAGGCTTCAGTCAAACAGATCAATAAAATGTCCCTGTCCCCATCCTCATTTTGAGATTGGCTGAGACATGCTAGGATTTAAGATTAAAAGCTGTGTTTTATTATGGAAATTCATCAAGATAATAGCCGTTAAATAACACCAGGTGCTAAATATTAAGAGAGCTAATTTGAAAGCTGATTCTTAATTCTGAACATTAAATCAGCCTTACAAAGGTTTCAGCTCAGGTTTCAGCTGAGGTTTCAGCTCAGATTTCAGTATCTTTATGCCATAAGAACAAGTTATAATGAATTAAATTAAACTCCCCAAGAGACTGATTCCTAGGATCAGTCAACAACGCCTAAGAGCCTTGCTGATGGGAATGTGAGTTGTAAAAACTCTTCTGGAGGGAAATTTCCTTAGAGATATCGAAGGCTTTAAAATATGCCAATATTTAGACTTAATAATTTCACTTTTTGAAATTTTTCCTAAGGAAATAATTGTGTGTATAAAAATTGATTACCTAGTATGTTCATCAAATGATTTATGAGAAGAAAACTGGAAACAACCTACGTGACTGGTTTGAACCTAAAAGGCTAAGGACTTGCAGAGAGGAAGGTCGGACAAAAATCTTTTATGGAGTAATAGTTAGCTATGTGTATTCATACAAGATATATAAAAAATGATTAAAGAAGAATGAATAAAAATGATTTAAAAATGACAAAGTAGGTAAATAAGTAGGAAAATAAAAATGGAAAATATTCTTTCCATACATGAATGCACATTTAATCTCAAAATTCTATTTAAAATTACACATTAAAAAGGAATCCTCACTGAACTAAATGTAGTAAGTGGATGATGGAGTGTGGAGCCAGGTTTCTTACGACTGGAGTGGGAATTTGCAGATGAGCAGGGGAGGAGGCTAGCATGATCCATGTACTAGTGGATTACAGTTGGCAATACCAGTATAACCTCATGTTTAGCTTAATATAGATACATATGGTTACAAATAGAAATATGTAGAAATATTTACAAATATGTGTATATATACCGGTTAGTATACATACCTATTTCCTTGCTCTGTCAGCTGAGAGGATCTAAAAGACCAGGAGCACCAGTAGCAATGAGCATATCTAGCTCTCAGAGTTCTGTTTTTTTTTTTTTTTTGAGATGGAATTTTGCTCTTGTTGCCCAGGCTGGAGTGCAACGGCGCGATCTCGGCTCACCGCAACCTCCGCCTCGCGGGTTCAAGTGATTCTCCTGCCTCAGCCTCCCAAATAGCTGGGACTACAGGCATGCGACACCACGCCCAGCTAGTTTTGTATTTTTAGTAGAGATGGGGTTTCTCCATGTTGGTCAGGCTGGTCTCGAACTCCCAACCTCAGGTGATCCGCCCATCTTGGCCTCCCAAAGTGCTGGGATTACAAGCATGAGCCACCGTGCCCGGCCCAGAGTTTGGTTTTTAATACCATCCTCCAATAAAACGAAGCAGGGCTTCTTAGAGAAATGGCTGATTTTAGGACTGGGTCAGAAAACATGCAAGATGAGCTTGAAGCATCTTCTAGTGCCAGAAAGAAACAAGTGCTAAAAAAAAAAAAATTGGTGGAGATGTCAAAGGAATTCAGAAGTCAACTGCAAGAGTTCCCAATGACTAAGCCTGGAATAATTTGAGAAACAAAATAAACAAAGCAATGTTGGATTACAATCCAAAGGATAAAACAAATATCACAAGTCTACACTGATATAAATAAATGATTGAATAAACAAATAAACGGGGAGAATAAATAAGTAAACGGGAGAGAAGAGTGTGTACCCTTGATATGATATGATGAAAATGGCATTTTAGATTTGTAGTCTTTCTCCCCAGAACCCATAACCCCAGTCTAATTATGAGAAAAACATCAAACAAATTCCAGTAGAGGAGCCTCCTGCAAAATATTTGACCAATATTTCTCAAAACTGTCAAGGTCGTAAAAAACAAGGAATATCTAATAAACTGTCACAGGCAAGAGGAACCTGAGGATTTATGACAGCTGAATGTAATGTGGGGTCCTGGATGGGATCCAGGGATGGAAAATAGCATTGGGTAAAAACTAAGGAAATCTGAGTAAAATGTGGATTTAATGAATAATGATGTATCAATATTAGTATATTGATGATAGCAAATGTACTATACTAATGTAAGATGTCATCAACAGGTGACTACATGCAAAAATGCAGCTGGACCTTTAGCTTATACCATACACAGAAATTAACTCAAAATGAGTCAGAGACCTAAATGTAGAGCTAAATAAGACTCTTGGCAGAAAACATCAGGGAAAAATTTTATGACATTGGATTTGGCAATGATTTCTTGGCTATGACACCAAAAGCACAGATGATACCAAAAGATAAAGATGTAACTTAAACTTCATCAAAATCAAAAACTTTTGTGCATCGAAAGACACTATCAACAGAGTGAAAAGTCAACCCACAGAATGGGATAAAATACTTGCAAATCATATATCTGATGAGGGATTGCTATCCAGAATATATGAAGAACTCCTACAACACACAACAAAAACAAAAAAAACAAACAATCCAATGTGAACATGGGAAAAAGACTTGAGAAGGCATTTCTTTAAAGAAGATATAGAAATAAGCCAAACCAGCTGGGTGTGGTGGTTTACGCCTGTAATCCCAGTACTTTGGAAGGCGGAGGTAGGTGGATCACCTGAGGTCAGGAGTTGGAGACCAGCCTGGCCAACATGGTGAAACCCTCTCTCCACTAAAAATACAAAAAAATTACTGGGAGCGGTGGCGGGCACCTGTAATTCCAACTATTTGGGAGGCTGAGACAGGAGAATCGCTTGAACCTGGGAAGCAGAGGTTGGAGTGAGCAGAGATTGTGCCACTGCACTCCAGCCTAGGCGACAAGAGTGAGACTCCATCTCACACATACACAAAAAAAAGCCAAACCACACTGAAAGATGTTTGATATCAGAAATTAATAGGGAAATTATGCAAATCCAAACAACAGTGATTTGTACTTCACACCCACTAGGATGGCTAATATTAATAATAATAATAATTGTTGGTGAGGATGTGCAGAAATTGGAACCCTGGTGCATTGCATCTGGAAATGTAAAATGTTACAGTTGTTGGGGAAAACAGTATGGTAGTTCCTCAAAAAATTAAAGGATTACCATATGATCCAGCAATTCTACTTTTGGGAATATACCAAGAATAATTGAAAATGGGAACTTGAAGAGATATTCGTACATCCATTTGTAACAGTATTGTTTACAATAACCAAAAGGTGGAAACAATCCAAATATTCTTCAGCAGATGAAGAGATAAACAATATATATAATAGAATATTATTCAGCCTTAAAGAGGGATGAAATTCTAATACATGCTACAACATGGATGAACCTTGAAGATTTTATACTAAGTGATATAAGGATACAAAAGGACAGATATTATATGATTCCACTTATGTAAGGTACCTAGAATAGCCAAATTCATAGAGACAGAAAGAATACTTGTTAGCAGGGACTGGAAAAAGGGAGTAATGGAGAGTGATTGTTTAATGTGTACAGCGTTCCAGTTGGGATAATGAAAATTTCTGGATATGGATGGTGGTGATGGTTGTACAGCAGTGGGAATGCACTTAATGCCAGTGAACTGTACACTCAACAATGATTAAAATGGCAAATTTTATGTTTTGTATATTTTACTACAATAAAAATATATATGCAATTGGGTGTGAGGTACATGGAAACTGTACTATCTTCTCATTTTTTCAGTAAATCTAAAAACGTTCTAAAAATAAAATCTATTTTAAAAAAATTAATCCTTGTTTCTAATCCTTGTTTCCCAAAGGGTTAAACATAGGTACCACAGGACTCAGCAATTCCATTCCTAGATATTCGCCCAAGAGAAATGAAAACATATGTCCACACAAAAATTTGTACACAGATACTCATGACAGCATTATTTATAATAGCCTCCAAATGAAACCAACCTAAATGCCCAGCACTGAATATCCATTCATTGTTGTATATCCATATATGGAAATATTATTTGGCAATAAAAAGGAATGAAGTAGTTATATATGTTGCCACGTGGATGAACCTTGAAAAGATGCAAAGTAAAAGGAGCCAGTCAGAGAAGACCACATACTGTATGATTCCACTTATATAAAATGTCCAGAATAGGCAAATCTGTGGAGATAGAAAATAGATTAGTGGCTGCCAGAGGCTGGTTGAAGGAAATTTTAGGAGTGATTGCCAACGGGAATCACCGGAGTTTCTCTTAGAGGGATGAAAATATTCTAAAATAATTTTGGTGATGGTTGCAAAATTCTGAACATACTAAAAATCATAGAATTGTATATTTTAACTGTACTCTTAAAACTTACTTTTAGGATGGAAATTCCACAACTGGAGAAGTAATCCAAGATTACATGCCACTGTTTCCACCCAGAACCTTGCTCTGGAACCCCAGTAATTTATAAATTTGGCTGCTTTATGGTGTCCCATATGTCATGGAGGCTTTGCTCATTCTATTATATCCTTTTATTTATCTGACTGGATTATTTCAAAATACTTATCTTCAAGTTTAGAGATTCTTTCTTTGTTTGGCCTAGTCTATTGTTAAAGTGTTTGAATGTATTTTGCATTTCATTAAATAAATTATTGAGTTCCAGAATTTTTGTTGGTTCTCGTTTATATTTATCTATCTCTTTAGCAAATTTCTCATTCATATCCTGAATTGTTTTCTGATTTCTCTGTATTGGTTTTCAGAATTCTCTTGTATCTCACTGAGCTTCATCTAAATCAATAATTTGAATTATTTTTCTGAGATCTTGTGAATTTCTTTTTAATCATGATCTGTTGCTGGTGAATTATTGAATTCCTTTGGAGGTGTAACATTTCCTTGTTTTTTCATGTTTCCTGTGTCCTTACATTGATGTCTGCACAATTGGGACAACACAATTGGGACAACACAATTGGTCCCTCTTCCAATTATTTGAATTTACTTTCATAGGGGAGGACTTTTTCCTGAAGATGTATCTAAGGTGTTGGTTTGATGACACACTATGGCTTGATTCTGGGTGCATGCAGTAGCATAGTCTTTGTATGATTTATTTGGCTGTAAACAGCATCAGTGGTATCTGTAATTTCCTCAGTGGCTTAGGATGCAGTTATTAGAGGAGGCAGTGAAGATTTTCTGGGGATGGGGATGCCAGGTAAGGCAGTCTTTGGGCCCCATTGGTGGCAGCAGTAGCTGAGTGTGTCTGTTCTTGGGCCCCAGGGTGGTATATGCTTGTACTGGTTTTAGGGGGTCCAGGTGGGCTGATTCTTGGGCCTCTATGTGTCTTACTCAGATGTCAGTAGTGGCAGCAGTAGGCTGGGTGGGTGGGGAGGTTCTCAGGACCCTGGGAAGCCAGCATGGTGAGGGTGATGGCAGTGGTGGGATGACTCTCTGGGCCCTGGTTGGTGTGTGCTGGCATTGGTAGTGAATGTGATGGTCTGGGCAGGCCAGTCTCTAGGCCCACAGGTAGCCTGGGAGGAATGTTCAGATGCCAATGGTGGTGGATTGGGCTGGGAGATCCCTTAGCCCCCAGATTGTGGCTAGGGCGAGGGCAGTGAAGTTGGGCAATGGCCGTACTGATACCCTACTACTAGGGAGGGTGGTGCTGCCCTCAGTGGTGGCAGCCTAGGCCAGTGGGTGGAAAATGCATGCCTCTCACATTTCAATTCTGGTGGTACTTGTGCCTCAGCCCTTGCTGCAGTAGCAAAGTAGTGCTTTGCTCATGCCTCAGTCCCAATGGAAGTATCTCAGCCCTCAGCCTGGGATGTGGTAGCCCATGGTAGCTGGTGCCTAATTCCTGGGGACAGAAGCCCATGCTTCTCTAGTGCCTCAGACCCAGCGCTGCTGAGCTCCAGGACAGTGTACTGTCTTTTGAGGGTGAGGCAATTTTCTGTAGCTGTTTAGGTCTCAGGGACCCAATGTTAGCTCCCTCCCTGGAGCAGTGTCATTTCACAATCTCCTGTCAGCTTCCTACTTTAGTTTTAGGGCCCACAAGGGTCATGGGACTCTCCAGTGGCTAGGATTGCAGAAGTCTGTGGTGGTAATGTGGATTGCTGAGGGTCTCTCACTTACCCTTTCCCCACATTGGTTTCTAGCTAATTCTGGCCAATCGGGCTGCCATGCTTTGTTTTTCTTCCTTGCTTTAGGTATTACCTGTCACTTTTCTATTGGATTCCAGTGTTCTCTCTTGGATGATCTATTCAAAGTGTGATTATCTACTCACTATTTTGGTTCTTCTTAGTGGATAAGGTGTGAAATGTCTCTCATCAGCCACAGTAAGGAGGAACAGAAGAATAAGAAAGACATGAGACACGTACAAAACAAAAAGCGTAATGGCAGACATAAATCTAACCATATCAATAATAACATAAAAGTAAATAGATTAAATAATTCAATCAAAAGGCAGAAATTGTCAGATTGGGTTACAAAAATGAGATCCTGCCTCATGATGTCTAAGGGAGATGTATTATAGACAAAGGTACAAATAGGTTGAAATAAAAGGATAGCATAAGGTGTACCATGCAACTAGCAACCATAGGAGAGCTACAGTGGGTTATACTGGTCTCAGACAAAATAGACTTTAAGACAAAAATGCCATTAGGTATAATGGACATTTTCATAATGATAAAAGGGTCAATCCCTCAGGAAGATGTAACACATATAAATGTATGCGTATTTATACAGAGTCCCAAAATACATGAAGAAAAACTAACAGAACTGAAGGGAGAAATAGACATTTCAACAATAACTGTTAAAGACATCACCTACTTTGAATAATGGATAGAAAAGCTAGAGATAAAATTAACAAGGATACAGAAGACATAAACAACATTATAAATCAACTAGACCTAAGAGACATCTATAGAATACCCCACCCAACAGCAGCAGAATACACATTCTTTCCCAGTGCACCTGGAACAGTCTCCAGGAAAGACCATTTGCTAGGTCATAAAAAAAGTCTCAATAAATTAAAGTGATCAAAATCACAGAAAATATATTCTCTGATTACAATGGAATGACATTAGAGATCAATATCAGAAGGAAATTTGGAAAATTCACAAACATGTAGATTAAACAACATACTGCTAAATAAACAGTGAGTTAAAGTAAAATCATAAGGGAAATTACAAAATACTTTGAGGTAAAGATAACTACCAAAACGTATGGAAAGCAGCAAAAGCAGTGCTGAAAGGGAGTTATAGTGATAAACATCTATATTAAAAGAGAAAAAAGATCTCAAATCCATAATTTTCCACCCTGTGAAACTGGAAAAAGAAGAGCAAACTAAATTCAAGGCAAGCAGAAGGAAGAAAATAATAAAGATTAGAGCAGCAAGAAATGAAAGAGAAAATAAAAGAATAGAGAAAAATCAACAAACTCAAAACTTGGTTCTTTGAAATGATTAAATTAGTAATTAAGAAGCTTCCTGCAAAGAAAATCTATGTTTTCTTTAACTTTCCTATGTGTTTCTACGTTGAGGATCAGAAGACTTAATATTGTTAAGACGGCAATGCTCCCTATATTAATCTACATATTCAACACAATCCTTATCAAAATTTCAGTTGAATTTGTTGGAGAAATTGACAGGCTAATCCTAAAATTTAGATGAAATTTTAAGAGACCCCCTAATGGCCAAAACAATCTTGAAAAAGAAGAACAAAGTTGGAGGAATCACACTTCACAATTTCAATACTTACTACAATTCTACAGAAATCAAAATATTGTTTTACTGGCATAGTAGACATATAGACAAATGGGAGAGAATTGAGAGCCCACAACTAAACTCTCACATATATGGTCAATTGTTTTGTTTTGTTTTGTTTTGAGATGGAGTTTCACTCTTGTCGCCCAGGCTGGAGTGCAATGGCGCGATCTTGGCTCACTGCAACTTTTACCTCCTAAGTTCAAGCGATTCTCCTGCCTCAGCTTCCTGAGTAGCTGGGAGTACAGGCGCCTGCCAACACGCCCCGCTAATTTTTGTATTTTTAGTAGAGATGGGGTTTCACCATGTTGGTCAGGCTGGTCTCGAACTTCTGACCTCAGGTGATCCACCTGCCTCAGCCTCCCAAAGTGCTGAGATTACAGGCGTGAGCCACTGTGCCCAGCTGGTCAGTTGATTTTTGATGAGGGCCCCAAGACCACTCAAGGACAGTCTTTCAACACATAGTTCTGGGAAAACTGGATCTCCATAGGCAAAAGAATGAAGTTGGACCCTTACCTTACACGCTGTACAAAAAGTAACTCAAAATGGATCAAAAACCTAAATTTAAAAGCTAAAACTATAAAACTCTTAGAAGAAAATATGGGGAGAAATCTTTATAGCCTTAGATTTGGCAATGTTTTCTTTTCTTTTCTCTTCTTTCTTTTTTTTCTTTTTTTCTTTTTTTTTTTTTTTTTTGAGACAGTCTTACTCTGTTGCCCAGGCTGGAGTGCAGTGGTGTGATCATGGCTCACTGCAGCCTCCACCTCCTGGGCTCAAGTGATCTTCCCGCCTCAGCCTCCCGAGTACAGGAGCACACCACCACACCCAGTTAATTTTTGTATTTTGTAGAGAAGGGGTTTCACCATGTTGCCCAGGCTGGTTTTGAACTCCTGGGCTCAAGCAATCTGCCTGCTTCAGCCTCCCAAAGTGTTGGGATTATAAGCGTGAGCCACTGCACCTAGCTGGCAATAGTTTCTTAAATATTACACCAAAAGCACAATAAACGAAGAAAAATAGGTAAATTTGATGTCATAAAAATAACATTTTGTGCATCAAAGGACAGCATCAAGGGAGTGAAAATCATTTGACAAAAGCCCAGCATTCAGAACATATAAATAAATCCTACAACTCAACTACAATGGCAAAATAAACCCCAACTTTTAAAATGGGCAAAGGATTTGGATAGACATTTTTCCAAAGAAGATATACAAATGGCCAGCAAGCACATGAAAAGATGCTCAACATCATCATTAGTCATTAGGGAGATGCAAATCAAAACCACAGTAAGGTACCCCTTTCACAATGAGATACCACTATCACATATACTAGAATGTCTATAATAAAACAACAACAGAAATTAACAATTATTAATGAGGATGTGGAGAAACTAGAACCTTTGCGCATTGCCAGTGGGAATGTAAAATAGTGCTGCTGCTGCTGTGTAAAGCAGTTTGGCAATTTTTCTGAAAGTTAAACATTGAATTACTATATTCCACTCCTAGGTAAATACCCAAACTAACCGAAAACAGGAATTCAAACAGATATTTGTGCATAAATGTTTATAACAGCATAATTCAACAATAACCAGAAGATAGAAACACCCCAAGGTCCATTAACAGATGAATAAGTAAACAACATGTGGTATATAGATATAATAAAATATCCAATCATAAAAAATGAAGTTCTGAACCTTGAAAATATTACACTAAGTGAAATAAGTCAAACAAAAAGGACAAATATTATATGATTTCATTTGAATGAGGGACCTGTAATAGGCAAATTCATAGAGACAGAAAGTAGAATAGATAACCTAATGGTTTGGAGGCAAGGAGAGCGGGGAATTATTGCTTAAAGGAAACAGAGTTTTTGTTTGGGTTGGTGAAAAAGTCTTGGAAATAGATAATGTGACGGTTGTACAACATTGTGAATGTAACTAACATTACCGAATTATACATTTAAAAATGGTTAAAATGGCACATTTTATGTTATCTATCATCACCACAACTTAAAATAATGAATAATAGAGCAAAACCCCTTGAATTGTACACTTTAAATGGCTGAAGTTATGGTATGTGGATTATATCTCAGTAAGGCTGTTAGGGAAAAAAAAAAAAGCATTGTAGGAAGTAGTTGGGAAATGTGTTAGTTCAACCCCATCATTTTCTGTAGGGGGAGAAAGCAGCAACAATGCATGTGCCAGTGAATTCCACTCTTGCAATCAATAGGTTGGTAAGTACAGCAGTTATCTGCAAAACTCTGTATTATTTCTATTATTAATGTGACATTTCCCAGGCACAGTAAGAATAGAAGGGCTGAAATTACATTCATTGTCCCCACATGGGAGAGAAGAACCTCCTGAAATCATGGGTTCTAGGCAAAAATGTCCAAATCTCCACCCATAATGGGACAGGAAGCAGGGTACATGAGCTAGCTCTGGAATGTGAGATTCTTTCCTGAAGAAGGAGGAATGATGAAACTGAGGGAGTAAATGAAGTCCTCCAACTTGCACGAGAGCTGGGTTACAAAACTCACTGAAGTGCTCAGTGGATAATTATTAGTGGAGATCACAGAGGCAGTTAGCAAATCAGTGGATGGTCACATGTCAGAGGCCTGAAAAATGAGAGCAAGACTCAGTGATTTTGGGGTAAGTAGGGTAGAGGAGGGACAGGGGAGGATTTCTCAGCAATTTCGTATAATAATAACCACTCGTGGTTTGTTTTCTGGTAGACACACATCTCTCAACAATTCATTAGTTCACTCCATCCACAGCTCCTCTATTCTCTAGCAGTTTGCCTCCCTCACCCCACCAAATCCCATACCCCGCTTATGAAAAGTTGAGGATTATTTCTTGGACTGATTCAAGGTCACAGAGATATTTGAATGCCATATGGCTAAAAATACAGATCCAATCTGCCTTCCAGTCCAGTGACTCATCCTGTCACTAGAGGTAGAGAGCAAGAGCATGAAGTGGAAGTACTAGACTTCCAACAGCGATATAGACTACTCCAATCCCTGAGGCAGAGGTAAGGGTCTGACTTAGAGAGGCATTTATGAATTCATGGGAAGTAGCTCTTCTTCCATGTTTGGAAGAGCTTCTCAAACATGCCAAGTCTTATGCAAAACAAACTTGAGAAAGCTCCACACCCAACCTACTGTTTGATTGGGAGAGGCCTACATAGCAGTGGTAGGGTTTGGGGATGGGGTAGGATGAGGGATGGATCCCTGCTCCAAACCTATATCTTTAAGCTAGTCTGACTTATCCAAGCACCAGGCATCAGAAAAGCCTCAAATACTTGAACTCCAATCCCAGAAAACATCCATCTAAGCCCTTCCTGATTTAGCTGCAAACTGTGTTCATCTAGGTTGCGTTTTGTTTCTGACCTGTTTCTGACCTATCTCTTTTCTTATTTGTAGCATTGCTCTTGCCTCCAGAATTCCCAATTGATCCTCATTTTTCAGCTTGACTCTCAGCTTTGCTTAAGAATTCTGTTTAAATTCACTTTGGATCTTCCTGCTCCTTGCTGCCCCATCCCAGTTCAGTCCTTAGAACTTAAATCCTGACAGTGATATACTTGGCTGATGCTTCAACCAGGACCACCAGGTTTAGTCATAAGCGTGAAAGGAAGCAAGTTACACTGCGCCATCTTATCCACATGGATTTCATGAAAGGGCCCGATAACTTATTAAAATCCATCCTCTCTTCTCCGGACTCTTAATATTGAGAACTGAAACCATTTACTCCTACACAGCTTACTATCTACGTTAACATGACTTTAATTTCAATTGTCTTCACATCCCAAGACTTTGTGCTCCTGGCTTCAAAACGACCTCTTTTCTTTTTTCACCAATCCTAATATTCTATCATAGCCCTTACCCTATCCTAATTAAGCCCTCTCTATTGCACTCACCCCTGCTCTGACAGACCTGCCTTAAACTAGACTTCAAAATCTGAATAAATCAAATCTTGTTCATTCTCCTCCAAGAAACTACCATATTATGTCTCCCTTATCACTGTAAGAAATAAAATAATCTTTTTCTTATCAATAAGTTGTTCTGGTAATATTTAGGGACTTGGAATTTGATCAGTTTCCTGATATTATTTCCTACAGATTACAGAAAATGTAATACTGCATTGGGAGGGCAGTGACTTAATAACCTCAAGCTTCCCTTATAAAGAATATCAAATAAAGTGAATAGCGGTTTCTGGAATACAACCTGAACTCCAGTTTAACTTTTTAATTGATGTATAATGTTGCCTTTCCTGTTCTAGCCCATTTGTAATTTTTAGGTATCATTAAAACTTTTCTTAGACCAGTAAAACTCTCCATCTACTTGCTGAAATTTCTGCTCTATATTTTTTAGCATAGACTTTGAGATAGTTTTTAAACACTGCCTCCAAGAAGCCAGCAGCTAGTGGGTTTGACAGCTATTTCCTCTGTGCTCGAGTCAGTGCCAGAGTAGCTTCTGTAGGTAATCTCCCTGCATGGCTGGCTGGCAATATCATTTTGATATAAGATATTCTCTAAGGAAGAGTTTCCATAAATAGGCTTGCTGCTAGAGCTGGTGGAGGCGTCTTGCCTAGTAATTAAGTTTTCTTGTACAAGGAGTTATATGGTTTTGTATGTGCACAAGTGAAAGTGCATAAGACATGCGTGGGCAGGTATGCTTTCAACTTGTTAGTGATGTTCTCAACTAGGAGTTCATGCTTCAGGGAGTAGGAAATGATTGCTTATTCTACCATTTCAGAATTTGCATAATATATCTGGGGAAAATATTTTTAAATGTACTATGACCTTTTTATCTTGTAAGGAGTGAAGGAAATCCTTATCCTATTCCAATTTGAATTATGTTCAGCCTCAAACGGTACCATAAGATGGTATGGTAGGTGCAGGGAGACAGCACTGTTAACACATAGTTCACATGCATAGTCTGAAAGTGTCTGTTTTCTGACCTTTAATTTTCCATGACCAGGACAGTATTATACACAGCTATTTCTTAACATAAACTTATCTGACGATTTCCACTGTCCTGCTTTTGTGCTCCAGATCTTTAACAGGTGGCAAAGAAGACAAATATGATGAGACCACATGAATGCTGCCCAACTTTTCAGTGATTATTAAGTGCAAATATCCTCCTTGTAAGACATATGTTTTCTTAGTTTCAAGATAGTGAAAGGACTAAGACCAATTTTGTAGACATACGAGAATACTAGAAATTGAATTACACTAAGGATCATTTATATTGAGTCAACCAGTTTTTTCTAATGTGGTCTTCTGTAAAATTTAGCTAAAATATTTCAGCTGTTTCACAAGTGTTTGGTTTTAATTTAATTTTGAAATGTGTTTTAGCTTTTAAAAATGTGAATACACAGCAGCACACAAACTTAAATGTGTCCTCTACTATCTTAGTCTGCTTGCGTTCCTGTAACAAGATGCCACAGACTGGGTAATTTATAAATAAGAGAGATGTATTTCTTACAGTTCTGAAGGCTGGGAGATCTAAAATCAAGGTGCTGGCAGGTTTGGTGTCTGTTTGGCGGTGTTTGTTGTTTGCTGTTCTTTCTGTATCCAAGATGGCATCTTGCTGTGTGCTCCAGAAGGGACAAATGCTGTGTCCTCACATAGGTGAAGGCAGATGAATAAAAAGAGACAAACTCTCTCTGAAGGCTCTTCTGTAAGGGCATTAATCCGTTCATGAGGGAGAGCCTTCATGACTTAATCACTTCCCAAAGGGTCCGAAACTCTTAATACCACCATAACGGGGATTAAGTTGCAACACATGAATTTTGGAGGGGAACCATTCAAACCATAGCATCTACCAATTTTTTAAAACACATTTTAGACTACCAAAGTATTAATTTTTATACAACTTGGAATAGATGTTCTCCTCTGAAGTCTCTGTGTAACTGAAGAATAACCTAAGAATGCAAGGCTGTAAGGGAATAAGTTTGTGTTTTTCCAAGCCACTAAGTTTGTGGTAATTTGTTTCAATAGGTACAGGAAGTAATACACACCCCCGTATCAAGTATGGAGCTTCTAGGCTTATAGTCTGCCACCAAGTTCTTAGGGTGTCAGGTCACCATCCTCCCTACCTGAAGATTTTTATTGCATCCTTCCACCTTTATACTTTAGCCTTTAATAAAATGTGCTTCCTTTTACTTTGTCTTCCTTTCTGGAGAGGGTTTCCCTTTTATCATGTTTCTTTCTAAAGAGACATTCATCATTCCCATTTCCTGGGACTACATTGGTGGAATGGCTGCAGGGGAACATAATTAGATATTGGAAACATAATTGTGTATGAGATATCAAGGAAAAATACAGATCTGCATAGCGTTACAATGTTAAAATTACTAGCTTAATTTCTGTCCTCATACAAGATATGAGCTCTAAGAATTCTGGGATTCCCATGCCTATTTTCTTTACTGCCATATCTCCAACCTCTAGCACAGGGCCTGTTATCCAATACATAATTGCTAGAAAGTCAAGGAATAAGATGATCAAACCAATGGGTGATGAATGATTGGCACTGGGGTCCTTTGGAGGACTTTGAGCAGAGGATTGAAGCAGTAAGATTTGCAGGTTATTAAATGTCTTCAAGCTATCACAGTCACCATAAGGAAAGGTCTGTATTATCCAAAATTATATTTATTAAATTAATTATCAAGTACACATACTACAGAGGAAGAATTCTCTACTATAAATATTCAAATCCATGAACAGTCTCCTGAGAAGAGCTAAGGAAGCTTCACAAAGTTTAAACTGCCTTCATTCCCCCAACTATATCCCCTCTTTATTTTCTTCTCCAGGACACTGGGGCCCTTTAGTCAGCTGAACTAGCTAGCCATGGGGACTCTTTCAGAGCATTTCAGCTGAGATTTGAGTAGCCAGCCCACTCTGCCGTGATATTTGCATTTCATACTAAATTGGTCTATAACATTATAAATTTCACACTCCTACATTTCTGTTATAACATCATAATCATAAAAATGACATTTTGGTCTTCTCTTTTGCAAGTGAAATGAACATTTCCACATATAAATAGAGGAGAAAACTTGTTGGTCATTTTCCTAAAATGTTGAGGGCTTGACGCAAGCCTGAGGTTTAATTTCTCAGTGTCTGGGAGGAGCCACTGGTTTGTGCAGGTTTCTCAGTGTACCTAAGAGCTGCTGAGACTCATGCTTCAGGTCTCTTGGATCAGGGGATAACCCGGTTGACTCGTTTTTTGGTAAAACAGAGGGAACCTGAGATCAGACACACCATTTGGTGTTTTATCTCCTGAAACGGTTTACCATCTCTTGTTCCTTACCCTTACAGGATTTCCAACAGAAGGCCAGAGTGCTGAAGCCTCTTCACTGAAGGAGGCACCCAGAATCCTGTGGGCCTAGTGTGTTAAATAAAGAGAGTGCAGGACTTTGTGGCCAGCGCTCACCTCCAGAGCAAAATCAAGAGATACGTCAGGAAAGGGGCTGGAAGGAAGCAAAGGGGACCCAAATACATTTTCAAAAAATCAGGGACATTTACACCCGGTATTTATGAAGATTTCTAATAATGGTATGATAGTTATCTTATGGAATTTAGCCATCAGGGAACTCATGTTTGAGCAGGACAAAGAAACTAATAAATTTTTCAAACAAGATCAGGGACATGGAGAGGAGCTGGCCTAGTTGACCTTGTTGGCATCTTTAAACATTTTTTAATTTTTAAAATTAAAAAAAAAAAGATTCATAAACCTGTTCAGTGTCAGAAGGGTGAGAACTAGATTGGGAAACTGCATCCCAATTTGAGATGTATCTAGGCAAGAAGCCAGCCTGGGAAGATATTGGTGGAAGCTGGAAACGAGGGCAAGAAGCCAAACCCTCAGCCTATAGAACATAAAATTAACTTTTTCAGGGTTATCTTGAAAGGACTAAGGTTTCCATCTCATTCCATCCTAAGAGAAAGAAAAGTGTAAGTCTTTATGTTATGAAGGTAAGGGCAGCTATTTCTTCAGACATTGATTGAGGCTGTAGAAAAGCCAGTGATCTGCTCCACCCCAGACCAACTGAATTGAACATCTGCAAGATGGGGCCCAGAAATATGATTTAATGTGTGATTCTCAGGGATGCAATAGGGGTTGAGAAGCATTTGCCTTAGTCATGTGCCTTATCCTTTCCTTCCATTTACTCCTCAACCCACTCTTCCAGAAGCGATGGCTCTCATAAGGTTCAAAAATGACCTCTGTGCCAAGCAATCCAATAACAATTTTCCCCCTTGGTAATATTCCACCTGTTTACCATTTCCTCCCTTAGTTTAGATAATTTCTTTATTGTTTTCTGTAAAATTATATATACTTATTACAAAAATTAATAATAGAATATAGACTTGAATAATGTAACAAGAAAATCACCCCAAATCCCATCACTCAGAAGCAACTGTTTTGTTTTGTTTTGTTTTTTTGAGACAGGGTCTCCCTCTGTTGCCCAGGCTGGAGTGCAGTGGTGTGATCATGGCTCACTGCAGCCTTGGTTTCCCAGGCTCAAGCAATCCTCCTGCCGCAGCCTCCTGAGTAGCTGGGACTACAGGTGTGCACCACTGAGCCTGGCTAATTTTTTATTTTTATTTTTAGTAGAGACAAGGTCTTGCTATGTTGCCCAGTCTGGTCTTGAACTCCTAAGCTCAAGTGATCCTTCCATCTCAGCCTCCCAAGGTGCTGGGATTATAGGTGTGAGTCACTGCACCCAGCCAGCAGTAACTGTTTTTAACATTTGCAAAATCCACGACTCTCAAACAAAATTGGGCACGAGGGCCTGGAGAAGTATAGAGACCTTTCAAAATAGAACTCCCTGTACTCTCCTACACAGGAAGGGAAAACCTCCCTCTGAGCTACAGTAATGCTGGTGAAATACCAGCTTTATGAATTGTCTTCTTTTCAAGGATACTAGGATTTGTTCTTAAAAAGGCTGGCCAAGATACCAAATACACATGGCCATTGTATTTACTGATAGCAAAAGAAGCCAACATCCAAGCACCCACACAAACTTCCCCTACTACTAGCTTCAGTTAGTATAGTTTAGCGGTGTGCTCCCATTGTTAGAGTAGGCAGATAGCCAGACATGAGCAGGAGGGTGAGCCCCTGAGGAAAGGGAGGTCTAGAAAATCTCACACGCCAGAGACCACCCCAAACATGCATACTAGGTATGAGCAGAGAGGAGGGGAAATAGCTATGCAGAAAGGAACACTCTGAAATGCTACCTTAAGATGCCCAGTAATCGCTCACTCTGCAGTTAACCTGTCAGAATGTAGCTAGCTACATGCTGATAAGGAGGGGAAGAGAGCAAGGGGAAAAATGTCCTAAGATATACACTGGTGCATTAAGTATAGATGTGACCACTCTACAACATTTCTGAGGTGGCAGTAATGAGCGATGCAGGTGAAATTCATATCCAACACCGGGCCCACGCACGCAGACCAACTAACAGTAAGGGAGGCTCCCACAGGCCTGGATGGGAGCTAGGTGGGGATAAAGGCAGGGACTTAAGGCAGTAGTGGAAAAACTAGACAGAGAAAAAAGGTAGAGACTTAAGACAGAGGTGGGAACTTCAAACTCTGATACCGTGAAAACCTAATGCAGAACTCTCGGGGCTGCTGCTGCTGGCTCATTCTCTGTCAGCAGCCCCCTTTGCCTCATCTTTAAGAGTGTACTGACTCTCCAAATATACTCTCTGCTCTCTATTTTCCTTCAATAAGTTCTTCTTTTTGGCTAAATTGTCTCTTGGCTGATTCTTTCTTCCAAAGGACCGAGGACTCTGCATTTCCCCATAACACCATCATGTAAACACTGGGGCTAATGCCCCATCCCTTTAACATAAGCAATAGAGGGAGGAGCTACAGAAGCCCATCTTGGCTGGGCTTTGATGTTTAAGGCAGAGAATCTTGAAGTTGGAGTGGGCCAGTGTCAGGAGTTTGGTCTTCACACTGGAGGAACTCATAGGATGGTATGAGTTCCTATGGCATGGAACTTCTGTGTGGAGAGACTGTAGGAAAATGATGACTCTGTTATTGCATGCTGGGTTTCTTATGTGTGAAGTAAACAAAATTAAATGGAACTGTCAAACTAAATAACAGAGAGAAACTCTCTAAAAGAAAATATCTATTTAGGAATAGGACACTGCAATAGGCATATGCGTGCCATAGTCAACTATGAGCATATTCTGGGAGGTAATGAAAGACAAGGATTTTGCTGTTTGTTTTTGTTTGGTTTTGTGACAGACAGGGTCTCACTCTACTGCCAAGGCTGGAATGCAGTGGTACCATCATAACTCACTGCAGCCTCAAACTCCTGGGCTCAAGTGATCCTCCAATCTCAGCCTCCTGAATAGCTGGGACTACAGGCATGCGCCACCATGCCTGGCTAATTTTAATTTTTTTTTGTAGAGTCAGGGTCTCACTATATTGCCCAGGCTGATCTCGAGCTCCTAGCCTCAGGCGATCCTCCACCTTCACCTCCCAAAGCACTGGAATTACAGGTGTGAGCCATTGCACCCAGCCAAGACAAGAGTTTTTAAATGAAAAATCAGGAGGTTTACATAATTGTTTTGGGATAATTATCCTTAGCTGCAAAGATCAATAACAAGAGTGATGCCAGTCTGAGGTTGAACAGGCAGTTATTAGGCAGATGTCCTCACAGAAGCATTTCTCGTGTAAGGTTGGGATGGCCTTTGTGCAAGACTGCAGTTTCTGCAGAATCTTTTGTGATTGTTTTTGTCATCAGGCATTTATGCAAGAAAGCTTTCTCTTCATAGCCTTCTCTGGCTCTATTTGTTAGAATGTGTTTTATTTTTTAAAAAAAATGACTCCATTTTGATTCTGACAACTTTCACAAAACAATGCATATAAGTACTTAGCAATCTAAGACACATAGTAAGAGCTGATTAAATGTAGCCATCATGACATCCAACATATTTACTTTCTACCAGAGGCTGCTCTGGGTGTTGGAGACATGGCAATGAACAAAACAAAATCCTTGCCCTCCTAGATCTTATATTTTAGTAAATGGAGACAGAAAATAAACAAATAAACATAGTACTATATAATATGTCAGACTCTGATAAAAATATAAAATAGAGTAAGTGAAGAATGAAGAGATTGCTGTTTAAGGAGTGGTCAGGGAAGGTCCGTCTGAGGAGGTGATATTTCAGCAGAGACCTAAGTGGAGTGAGGGAGAGAGCAATGCCAGTACCTTGGGCGAAAGAAGAGCAGAGGCTATAGCAATTGCAAAGGTGCCAAGAGGGGCAGGAATAGCAAGCAGGCCAGTGTGACTGGACTGATAATGTCATTAAGAAAGGAGAAAGCTGTAGGAGATGATTTTGGAGTTCCTTAGGGCTAGATAATGTAGGGGCTTGTAGGCCAAGTTTAAACTTGGGGTTGACTTTGAATTTCATTCTAAGTACGATGTAAAACCACTAGACGGTTGAGCCAGGATGTAACATGATCATATTTATGTTTTAAAAGAACCACCCTAAATGCTCTTTGAGAACTGACTATAGGAGTAGAAGTGAAAGCAGGACAATCAGTGCATAGATTCATGAAAGCAATTGCAGAAGGCTTGGACTAAGGTGTTTGCAAGATAGTCGGCAAGAAGTGACAAGCTGACAGAATTCACTGATGGAATAGAACTGGTGTATAAGAGAAAAGAGGGTCAACGATGGCACCAGGGATTTTGGCCTGAGTAACTGGGTGAAAGGAGATGCCATTTACTGAGATGGGGGACACTGCAGAGGAGCAGAAGCATTCAGTTTTAGAGATATTAAATCTGAGATATCTAGCTGACATCCAAATGGAAATATTGATTAAGTAGTTGCATATATTACTATTGAATACAAAGCAGAGGCTGGGTCTGAAGGTAAAAATTCAAGTTATCAGAATATAATAGTATTGAAAGTCATGGGAATAGATCAGATCTTGTAGGGTGTGAATATAGATTTAAAAAAAAAAAAAAAGAAAAGAGGACTGTGGCCAGAGTCCTGGGCACTCCAACATTCAGAGATCTGAAAGATGAGAAGGAGCAGTTGATAGAGAAAGAAAATCAGGATAATATGGTGCCTCAGAAGGCTTGTTAAAATGTTTTTAGGGAAAGAGTGAGTGATCAAACTATGTTAATGCTGCTCAGAGCATGTAAGATGTAGACTGAATTGAATGTTGCATCTTACAACCTGAATGCCATTTGGTGGGCCACCCAAGAGCATTCTAGGTGGAATAGTAGGAATCAATATCTTTGAGTTCAAGAGAGAATGGGAAGAGAGACAATGGAGACAGGTAGCATAGTTAAGAGTTTTGCTCTTTCTAAAGATAGATAGAGCCACACACTAAGAGGGACTGTAGAATAAAGGAAGCACTTTTGTGTTCTTTATTTAAGAAGGCATTTTACAGCATGTTTGTGTGCTGAGGGAATATTGGAATGATCTAGCAGAGATTAAGATGATGAGGAGATTATTTTCAGTTAAATAATCATGTGACATATCATTGAAGGTACATCCCTATTGATAGGGAGTAGTATCTCAGCAGCAAGACGAAGTGCTTCCCTGTGTGAAACATCTTGGAAGTACAGTGGTCCTCAAAATAGAAACCTCAAACAGAACCAAGAAGGTAAACTACTTGGCCCTAATTGATGAAAGTGTGGTTATGTTCAGATGATTACCACTACATGGAGGCAGACTGAGTACTAGGGAGAACTGGGGCAAGGTTGCCCAGGGATGGGAAGGACCCTGCAAAATCTGTAAAAGAATCTCTGGGCCAGGTGCAGTGGCTCACGCCTGTAATCCCAGCACTTTGGGAGGCTGAGGCGGGCAGATCACCTGAGGTCGGGAGTTCGAGACCAGCCTGACCAACATGGAGAAATCCTGTCTCTACTAAAAATACAAAATTAGCAGGGTGTGGTGGTGCGTACCTGTAATCCCAGCTACTCAGGAAGGCTGAGGCAGGAGAATCGCTTGAACCCGGGAGGCGAAGGTTGTGGTGAGCCAAGATTGCAGCACCATTGCACTCCAGCCTGGGCAACAAAAGCGAAACTCCATCTCAGGAAAAAAAAAAAAGAATCTATGACTTGCAAGCCACACTTTTTACATTCATCTTACTTTCTGTGTTTATTTCCCATTTGTTATTTCAGAATACTTGCTAATGTCTTATCCAGATATTCTAACCTTGTCCAGCTGTGCTTTGGAAAATCTAGCAAGAGCCCTGTGTCCATATGAGCATCAGAATGTTAAAGGGGCATCAGTTTCCCCAGGAGGTGGAAATTGTAGTCAGGGAAGGTGAATACTTGGCATGAAAATAGTGAGTGGACCACAAATTCCAGGCATTCCTTGCTTCTTATTCAAGTATGAATACTAAAGGATCTGAATTTTATTTAATCAGGAAGAGTATAATGTCCTTATAAAATCATAAAATATTTTTATCATAATTCTAAAAATCATAAAAATATTATAATTTGAAAAACCATAAAGTTTTTATTATTATATAATTCTTATGAGATCATGGGTATACTACCATATTGTCTCTATCATAGAACAAAACTCAAAAATTTCAAGATTTAACTCTGGAAGAAGACTTTCCAAGCAGGAAGGGGAAGCTTGCCCAAGCAACCCCTACACTCTTCCAAGGTTATCCTATCCTTTGGAACTTCCTTACCTCAAGAACCATTGTCAACCCCATGGATACAATTTCTTTCTTTCACACTGTGTCAAAAAGTAACTAAAAACTCCTTGTGCCTTTGTAGAGCAGAAACAAAATGGACTATTCAAAAGCCTTTTCAAAGAGGTTTTAGTTTTGGGTAAAATGAATTAAGCACATCTCACCCAGCCCCTTCCACTGAATGAAGCTGAAAAACCTGGACAGAAAACATAGAAGCCTCTGAAAAATAAACAGTAGCAGGTGTATTGGAGAAGAAGACCCAAGTTCAATAGACCACTGAACCAGTGGTGATGTTATGCTTTTTTTCCCTTTAATCTCCTCTGACCGGAACTGAAACCAGCCTGCAGTCTAGAAGTGAGTGTTAGAACAGAGAGAACTGGAGCAGAAGCCCTCTAATTCCGGTTAAAGAGAGGGAAAGCAGTCTTCTAACACTCAGGTAAAGTGTGAAAATCACCTGTGTTTCTTTTATTCTCTTGCTTCTCCTCTGTTTCTTTTTTTTTTTTTTTAAGTGTCCCAGCCCCCAAGCAATGATTTTGGAAGAGGCAGCAACTGGAACTTTCTACTATAATCAGAGGAGCTGAGGTCCCTAGAGGGCGGGGTGAACCCCTGTTATTTTTTTTCTCTCTGCCCTCCTGCTGCTTGGTCCCGATGGAATCATGGGAAGTGGTCCATAGAGTGGGATAAATAAAGCCCTGGTTTTCTCACTCCAGGACAGAAAAAGAGAAGTCCCAGGAAAATATAAATATTGGGGAGATTGCAGAGAGGGAGGAGCTTGGGAAAGCAACTCCTCCAAGTTGTTTATATACTCATGGGCTCACCTCCAAAGTGTACATGCATTGATCTGACTATAAACAGCACTTGCAATCTCTGAAATCTAAACTGTGGAATAGGCCACTGCCCAAATCCCATACTGAGCACTTGGTGGTGCACATGCAAGAAAAATCGGAGTAGCACTGCAGAGATTTTTAACAACTGAACTGACATGGAAACACAGTTCACAGAAGGCTAGCTGGAACTTGTAGTCTGAATCCACCTGGTTCTATTGTCTGCTAAAATTAAAACATTAACGTTATCTATAGGATTTAACCAAAATCCAAAGTCCCATAAAATAATACTCAAAATGTCTGGGATACAATGCAAAGTTATTCAACATATGAAACCAGGAAAAGCTCAACTTGCATAGAAAAATACAATCAACAGATAATAATGCTGAGATAAGACAGAAATTGAAATTATCTGAGAGAGAATTAAGGCAGCTATTATAAAAATGTTCCAACAAGTAAGGGTGAACACTGGAAACAAGTAAGAATAGAACATCTCAGCAAAGAAATAGAGGATATACAGAAGAACCAAATAAAAAATTTCAAACCAAAAAATGTGATAACCAAAATTTAAAAACTCACTGGCTTGACTCTAGAGCACAATAAAGAAAGCAGTGAAAAATGTCAGTGAACTTGAATATATATCAACATAAATTATTCAATTTAGACAACACAGAATATAAAGATTTTTTAAAAAAGAATAGAGCCTGAGGGACATGTGGGGCAGTACCAAAATGTCTAACATGCATACCATTGAAGTCACATGAGGAGAAGAGAGAGAGAGATGGTGTATAAAAATACTTGAAGAAACAATGCCCCAAAACTTCTCAAGTTTGGTAAAAAATACAAAGATACAATTTCAAGAAGCTCAATGGACCCCAAATGGAATAAATACAAAGAAATTTATGCTCAGCCACATAATAACTAAAGGTTGAAAAATAAAGATAAAGAAAAAATTGTGAAAGAAACCAGGAAAAAAACAACACATTCATATAGGGCAACAAGATTTCAATGATTGCAGTTTCTCATCAGAAATCATGGATTTCTTGAGCATCACTTGAGGAGGTTGAGGCTGCATAGAGCTGTGATCATGCCACTGCACTCCAGTCTGGGCAACAGAGCAAGACCCTGTCTTTAAAAGAGAGAGAGAGAAAAAAAAAACTATGGACACCAGAAGAAAATGAAACGACACCTTTAAAATGCTAAAAGAAAAAATATTGCCAACCCAGAATTCTATAACTAGTGAAAATATTCTTCAGAATTTCTTTAGATAATTGTAAACTAAGGCAATTATCTGAGAAGAATAAAAAGGAAGACTAAAAGAATTAATTGCTAGGAGACCTAGTCTACAATAATTGATTAAAAGAGAAATGAAAACAGAAGGAAACTTAGAACATTAGGAATGAAGAAAAAACAAGAGAAATGGTAAAATTCTATGGAAATATTATAGATTTTTGCCCTATTGAGTTGTTTGAAATGTTTGACTATTAAAAGCAAAACCTATGACAAAACAATTTTTAAAAAGAAGTAGGAGGAATCATATTACCCAATGTCATGACTTACTATAAAACTACATTAATTAGGATAGTGTGATGTAGACAAGGTTGGCCAAAAGCAGTGGCTCACACCTGTAATCCCAGCACTTTGGGAGTCCGAGGTGGGAGAATCATCTGAGCCCAGGAGTTAGAGATCAGCCTTGGCAACAAGACAAAATCCCATCTCTACAAAAAATAAGAAAAGGTATCCAGGCATGGTGGTACATGCCTGTAGTCCTAGCTACCTGCTTGGGAGGCTGAGGTGTAAGGGTCACTTGAGCCGAGGAGGTTGAGGCTGCAGTGATCCATAATCATGTCACTGCATTCCAGGCTGGGTGGCAGTGAGACCCTGAAAAAAAAAAGAAAGAGAGAGAGAAAGAAAGAATGGAACAAAAGAGAGACTCTAGAAATAGACCTACACAAATAAAGCCATTCAATATTTGACAAAGGTACAAAATAAATTCAATGAACAAAGGATTTTTTTCCATCAACTAGTGTTGATCATCCATATACATGTGGTCATCCATATGCAAAACAGTAAAACTTAACCTAAACTTCTCACTTTATAATATTGAAAATTAACTTAAAATGGGTCATAAATCTAAGTATAAAATATAAAACTATAAAACTTTTAGGAGAAAGCCTAAGAGAAAATCTTGTGACCAAGGATTAGAAAATAATTCTTAGACATGATACTAAAAGAATGGTCCCTAAGAAAAAAAAATTGAATTTCATCAAAATAAAATTTCTTCATTGCAAAAGACATTGTTAAAAAATTTAAAAAAAAACAAGATATTGACTGGGAAAATTATTCGCAAATCAAACATCCAACAAAGGACCTACATTTTTAAAAACTTTCAAAACTTGACACGAAGAAAATAAATGAACCAATTTAAAAAATGCCGAAAAGCTCAAAAAGACACTTCACCAAAGATGATGTAAGGTTGGCAAATAAGAACAAGATGTACAAGATCATGCACCATTTGGAAAATTCAAATTAGAAAGCACTGACCATATCAAGTACTAGCAAGAAAGCAGCGCAACTGGATCTCTCATACATTGCTACCAGGAATGCAAGATAGCACAGCCACTCTGTAAAATAGTTTGGTAGTTTCTTATACAGTTAAACATATACTTTCCAGGATATGACCCATCAACCCCATTCCTAGGTATTTATACCAGAGAAAAGAGAACTTATGCTCACACAAAAACTTGTTATACGCCAATGCTCATAGCAGCTCCATTCATGTTTGCCAAAAATGGAAACAACCCAAATGTCATTCAATGAACAGATGAATAAACAAACGTCCATCCAATGAATGTATGATAGACCTATGCAACAGAATAAACTCAGCAATTAAAAGAATACACCCAACAACTTCAGTAAATCTCAAAGGCCTTATGCTGAGTGAAACGAGTCTGCCTCAAAAGGTGTTGCAACAGGATAGCTTCCCTTGTCTCCCTCTCAGGGCGTGCGATGGGGGTGTGGCTTGCTTCTTCCGTGCCCAGCTGCTTAAACCTCTAGGGAAGCATACAAATGGGCAGGCTGTGGGGCTTTGACCCCACGGCAGTGTCTAGTGGTGAATGTTTACAGATCCTGAAGCCCCAGTGGGTATGTATTACAGAGTGCTCTTTTAGTTTTGCCTTCTGTAGGTGGCTCGTGTTAACTGGCTCAGTTAGACCCTATATCTTGTCGCAAGGACAGAGGGCTTTCTGTATCCTGGGTTCTTGCCTTGGTGTACCAGAAGAATTGGATCACACCGGGGCTTGGAAAATGAGTGCAACCTTTTATTGAGGGAGGTAGCTCTCAGCAGATGGAGGAAGCCAGAAGGGAATGGATTGGGAAGGTTCTCCCCCGGAGTCGGGCAGCTCAGTGGCCTAGACTCTCCTCCGACTGCCCAGGCCAAACTCTGCCTTATTCCACCAGTCGATATCCTGCGGTGTGCCGGTCTCTGTCGTGTGCCCTTCTGCCGGTGTGCTCCCCTCAATGGCTTCTCGACATCTAGCTGCTCGTGTCTTTTTCTGCTGATCTGCTCCTCTTGATGTCCAGCAGCTTGTGTGTCTGCCTGCTAGGGTCTCGGGGGGGTTTTATAGGCACAGGATGGGGGCGCGGCAGGCCAGGGTGGCCGTGGGAAATGCAACATTTGGGCAGGAAAAATCAAAATGCCTGTCTTCACTTAGGTCCGTGGGGGTGGAGCCCTAGCCAGGGACCATGCCCTCCTCTACCCAGCACTTCCCTTCCCACATTCAGTATCATTTAAAGGGACCACGCTCTTCCTTTCCCAGCACTTCCCTTTCGTATCAGTATGATATTGTATCATTCCATGTATGTGACATTTTTGAAACAACCAAACTATAATTATAGAGAACGTATCAGTGATTGTCAAGGATTAGGGGGTAGAGAAAAGGTGTGACCACAAAGGGTTAGCATGGGGGAGATCTTTGAGGTGATGGAACTGGTCTGTATCCAGATTTTGTTGGTGGTTATAAAAATCTATACATATGTTAAAGTTCTCAGAACTGTACACATGAAAAAGAGTCAATTTTTCTATCTGTTAATATAAGTCATAATTTTCTTTTAAATTTTGGATTCAGGTGGTACATGTGTAGGTTTGTTACAAGAGTACATTGTGTGATGCTGAGATTTGGGCTTCTATTGATCCCATCACCCAAATAGTGAATATAGTACCTAATAGGAAGTTTTCCAGCCCTTGCCCCTCTCCCTCCCTCCTGCTTTTTGGAGTCCTTAGTATCTATTGTTCCCATCTTTGTCTGTGTGTACTCAATGTTTAGCACCCACTTACAAGTGAGAACATATATTATTTGGTTTTCTGTTTCTACATTAATTTGCTTAGGATAATGGACTCCAGCTGCATCCATGTTGCTGCAAAGGACAAGATTTTGTTCTTTTTTATGGCTGCAGGGTATTCCATGGTGCATATGTATGACATTTTATTTATCCACTCCACCAGTGATGGGCACCTAGGTTGAGTCCATGTCTTTGTTATTGTGAATCGTGCTGTGATGAACATGCAAGTGCAGGTGTCTTTTTGGTAGAACAATTCATTTTTCTATGGGTATATACCCAGTAATGGGATTGCTGGGCCAAATGGTAGTTCTATTTTTAGTTGAGAACTCTCTTCTTTTCACAGTGTTTGAACTAATTTACACTCCCACCAACAGTGAATAAGCTTTCCCTCTTCTCCACGGCCTTGCCAACATCTGTCATTTTTGACTTTTTAACAATAGCCATTCTGACTGGTGTGAGATGGTATCTCACTGTGGTTTAGATTTATATTTCACTAATGATTAGTGGTGTTGAGCATTTTTTCATGTTTGTTGGCCACCTGTATATCTTCTTTTGAGAAGTATCTGTATGTCCATTGCCCACTTTTTAATGAGCTTATTTGATTTTTCTTGTTGATGTGTTTAATTAAGTTCTTTATAGATTCTGGATATTAGTCCTTTGTAAGACATACTTTAAAAAAAAGCCTTTCCAATAGACTAAAAGATTAAGTGAAAACAAAGCAAGCAGATAGAATCTGAAAAAGCAAACAGAGAAGACTTCCAGAAGGGAAAAAATAGGAATATTCTGGGCACTTGGGCTTTGACATAATCCTGTATTTAAATCCTAGCGCTGCCATTAAACCATATAACATTGGGCGAGAATCTTCATCTCACTGAAATATAGTTTCTGAATCTGTAAAATGGGTAAATTAATGCCTTTGTCATAGGGTTATTTTGAGGATGAAATGAAATAATGTATATAAATACTTAATGATAGCACATAGCAAGAAGTTCATGTATTTGTTATTATAACTTATTAATAATAGCTAATTCCTGCCTTGCCTCAATGTAAGAAAATTATCTAATTGTCTAACTACTTAGAGGCTATCTTCTGCATACTTTGATACCTTTGTGGTCCAGACCAATTGACACTTTCCCTTTTTTGCTGTTCAATCAGAGTTCTAATTTCTAGTCTAGAAGATATCTTTTTCCCAGGTGATTTTTCCCTAAGGGATTGACACTATTCTTTGTGCAAGATTTAATTTTCCACCTCTTATATAGAAACATGAAATTGCCCTTTTATGGACTTATAGGCACAATCATATCCTGATACAATAAGAGTCACTATATCATATATAATGATACATATAGGACTTCTGTGTGGGGAATCATTCTTTGACAATATGAAGAAGTACCACAGATTTTTTTTAAGTGGTGACATTATCATTATTAGATGATGAAGATGGTGGTTAAAGAAGTTTCATTTACTGGGAGCTAAATAATGTGTACACATTGACACAGAATGTGAAATGATAGACAACAGAGACTTGGAAGGATGGGGGAGTGGGAGAGAGTGGAAGATGAGAAATTACTTAATGGATACAATGTACATTATTTGGGTAATAGTTACACTAAAAGCTCTGACTTCACCACTATGCAATATATCCAGTAACACAATTACACTTGTACCTTATAATTTTATACAAATTAAAAAAAAGAAATTTCAACTAGTTACAGAATTCAGAGGAACTGGTCTTACAGAGACAAGGCAGGGAGACTAATTTTGAGTTTATCAACACAAGATGGTGTGAGGTAATGAAGATCTGACTAAGGTGATGGCATTTATAATGGTCAGAAAGAAGATGAGAAACATTTAGAATGGAAAAAATCATAGGAATTTATTAATTTGTTCTAATAGCTGAGAGAGAAAAATGAAACAGGGAAAACTAAGATTTCAGGAGGCATCACACCACCTGACTTCAAATTATACCATAAGGCTACAGTAACCAAAACAGCATGGTACTGGTACCAAAACAGATATATAGACCAATGGAACAGAACAGAGACCTCAGAAATAACACCACACATCTACAACCGTCTGATCTTCGACAAACTTGACAAAAACAAGCAATGGGGAGAGGATTCCCTATTTAATAAACGGTGCCGGGAAAACTGGCTAGCCATATGCAGAAAACCGAAACTGGACCCCTTCCTTACACCTTAAACAAAAATTAACTCAAGATGGATTAAAGACTTAAATGTAAAACTCAAAACCATAAAAACCCTAGAAGAAAACCTAGGCAATACCATTCAGGACCTAGGCATGGGCAAAGGCTTCATGACTAAAACACCAAAAGCAATTGCAACAAAAGCCAAAATTGACAAATGGGATCTAATTACACGAAAGAGCTTCCATACAGCAAAAGAAACTAGCATCAGAGTGAAAAGGCAACCTACAGAATGGGAGAAAATGTTTGCAATCTACCCATCTGACAAAGGTCTAATATCTAGACTCTACAAGGAACTTGAACAAATTTACAAGAAAAAAAAACCATCAAAAAGTGGGCAAAGGATATGAACAGACACTTCTCAAAAGAAGACATTTATGCAGCCAACAAACATGTGAAAAAAAGCACATCATCATTGGTCATCAAAGAAATGCAAATCAAAACCACAATGAAATACCATCTCACACCAGTTAGAACGCCGATCATTAAAAAGTCAGGAAACAACAGATGCTGGCGAGGCTGTAGAGAAACAGGAACACTTTTACACTGTTAGTTCAACCATTGTGGAAGACAGTGTGGCAATTCCTCAAGGATCTAGAACCAGAACTACCATTTGACCCAGCAATCCCATTACTGGGTACACTCAAAGGATTATAAGTCATTCTACTATAAAGACACATGCACATGTATGTTTATTGCAGCACTATTTACAATAGCAAAGACTTGGAACCAACCCAAATACTCATCAATGATAGACTGGATAAAGAAAATGTGGCACATATACACCATGGAATACTATGCAGCCATAAAAAAGAATGAGATCCTTTGGGAGGCTGAGGTGGGCGGATCACGAGGTCAAGAGATTGAGACCATCCTGGCTAACATGGTGAAACCCTGTCTCTACTAAAAATACAAAAAACTAGCCAGGCTTGGTGGCGGGCACCTGTAGTCCCAGCTACTCGGGAGGCTGAAGCAGGAGAATGGCGTGAACCTGGGAGGCAGAGCTTGCAGTGAGCTGAGGTCGCGCCACTGCACTCCAGCCTGAGCGACAGAGTGAGACTCCATCTCAAAAAAAAAAGAATGAGATCATGTCCTTTGCAGGGACACGGATGAAGCTGGAAGCCATCATTCTCAGCAAACTAACACCAGAACAGAAAACCAAACACTGCATGTTCTCACTCATAAGTGGGAGTTGAACAATGAGAACACGTGGACACAGGGAGGGGAACAACAGACCGTGGGGCCTGTTGGGGGTGGGGGGCAAGGGGAGGGAGAGCATTAGGACAAATACCTAATGCATGCAGGGCTTAAAACCTAGATGATGGGTTGATAGGTGCAGCAAACCATCACGGCACATCTATACCTATGTAAAAAACCTGCACATTCTGCACATGTATCCCAGAACTTGAAGTAAAAATAAAATGAAATTAGAAAGAAGAATGGTCTAGTTGAGAGAGTAGAATGGGTATCCAGTTTTTATTGTTTGTTTCTTCCTTTTAATCTGCCCATCAACTCCTTTACTCTCTTCTACTCACAGCAACACTCTCCTCTGGAGACCTTCCCCTGCTCCACTCCATGTGGTTCTCATTCAGCTGCCAATTATAGTACCCCACTTCCTAATCACAAGGTGGGCATGAGACCCAGACCTAGCCAATTGTAGAGTCTCATCCTTCTGGCCACAGTGGTCGTTCCAGTAATGGCCACATGACCCAGGTCATTCCAATCACCAACCTTCCCTTAGATTTTTTTTTCCGTCATAGAATCTTTATTGTACACATTTGCATCATAGCAAGGTAATCCATCCCATGCATCATCCTGATTTGAACTTCCACCCATTATGTTTCTGTTAATACTCTGTGATTGTCAGTGTTTAAAAAAATATTGAAAACTCTTTCTGCATCCTAATCTAACCTGAAAAGCAAAACGATATTTATAAATCTGCAACCCCTTACCAAATGAAACTAATTTCTGGATTAAATATGTCTGACTTTGTTGTGAGGTCACATGATTAGACAATGCCAGGTTACAATCTGAAGAGGCTGCTCAAGTAGTCAAGAAATTCCCTATGTGGACAGGATTTTCAGATCCTTTCCATTGTAGTATCTTAAATGCTAAGAAGGCTGAGCCTCTGATCCTCCTATCTGATCTGGCTGCCCACTACAAAACCTCAAACCTTACTGTCCTCGGGGTGTTTCACTTTGACCTTCACTGACTTCATCTAGAAATTCTCCTTCCCAAACGGGTTTTGAGACTTCCTGCCATTAGACTTGCAGCCATTAGAATTCTAATAGACCCTGATTAAACATAAACAAATCCTTGCTCCCTCACCTACTTGTGCCACTCTCTCAGTGTGCTTCCTTTAAACCATATCTCAGGGGATATGCATTTCCCATACCCTAGCAATGAGCCATCTAAATACATTTTCTATTATTCAAGCATAAACCATGCAGAAAGAACACAGATACATCTCCAGGCTACGAGGCCCCTGGGGAATTTGGAGTAGGTTCAGCTTGCCAATCAAGAATCACGTTCCAGGTGGTGACCCAGTATTAGCATCATCTCAGGTGGATGTCTCTTAAAGACTCCCTGCCAAAAACACACTAGGGAAAATTAAAGAGCAATTGTTTTGGAATATTTAGTATGTTCTAAATGAATACCTTTTTGATATATCTTGAGCTATCAAGTCAATGTCTAACTTCTTTATCAGGGAAGCCATTAATTTGCTGAATTCTAAAAAGGAAAAAAAAAAAAAAGCAGCAGCCCACAGACATCCTGGACGCAGCACATTCTAAATCTGTTGAAAGGCCAAGGTTAGGTCAGAGAAAAGCAAAGGGGTGAGGCATGACTGTGAAAACAGGAGTGTAAGAGGGGACCAGGATCTGTTTCCTTTAAAATTCAGTACCTTGGCAGTGTGAAGCATAAATGGTTCTGCTATTCTTCTGGGTGTATGGAGCAGGGCTAACAACCTCATCAGACTGTTAATATTCTAAGCGCCTTCCTTGACGAAAATGTTTTATGATGGGAGAGATGGCTAGAATGCCATCCCCAACTGGAATAGGCATGTTTTACACTCTTCCTATGTCCATAAAGCTGGCTTCTTGCAGTAGACCGTTTTACATATTAAAACAAGGCATACATTTTAGCCTTGAGAAAGAACACTAAATATAGGCCTCAGCAATAATATGCAGCATTAGTATGCGCTCTCTTGATAAAATTCTCCTAAGCTTAAAAAATACATTTTTCACATAGCTGCTGGAAGAAATTTCTAAGATTTTTCATATAGATGCTAAGAAAGAGATGTTTTCTCTTTTCACTGGGGCTGCTAAACTGGTATGACATGACTCTGAAACTGTCTCCAGCTATGTTCTTAGTCTCCCAGCTTGTCAAAACCCAAGCTTGGTGGAAGTAAAAGGGGCCAGAGAGAGACCCAAGGTTGCAAAGAAATGACATTTTTAACTATTTGAACTCAGCTTCACCCCTGGACTTCCCAACTTCCTATTATGTGAATAATAAATTCCTTTATCCTCTCAAATTTGTTTGAATTGGGTTTCTGTCATGAAAGAGAGTTCAGCAATCTGAAGAGAGAATTGAGTTGATGAGTAAGTTTGAGGTGATGTGAGGAAGGAGTGAGTCAATGGCAGAATAAAAAAGTCTGTTTTTCCAAACTAACACATTGTCACATATAATATATAAAGTTCTTATATACCACCCCTGCTATGTCATTGGGGATATAGGCTTAAGGGCAGTGTTATATAAAGAACACCGAGTAATGTTTGTGAAATTAGAATTTCAGCATTAAACGATTTTGTAATCTTGGGCAATATAAATGGTAACTACTAATAGTTGACATTTATTAAATATTTACTTTATCCCAGGCATTAGACTGTTTTTATCTACATTATTTTATTAAATCCTCATTTCATAGATGAGAAGACTAAGACTCAGATGTATTAAGAAACCACCCCCAAGGACACATATCAACTAATTGCAGTTTTGGGGTATGAATGTAGATCTCTCTGACTCCAGAATCCATGCTTGAAAAATATTTATTGAGCTATAATATACAGACTATAGCATGCATACCAAATCCACCCACATAAAGTAGACAATTCAGTGGTTTCTGGCATATTCAGATATGTGCAACCATCATTACAGTTTTAGAACATTCTCATCACCTCAAAAAAGAAACCCTGTACCTTTTATCTACCACATCTGTTTCCTCCCAGTTCTTAGGTAACCAGTAATCTACTTTCTGTCTCTATAGCTTTTACTATTCTGGACTTTCATATTAATGGAATCATATAGTATACTATCTATTGTGATTGGTTTCTTTCACTTAGCATTATGTTTTCAAGGTTCACTGTAGCATGTAGCAGTATTTCATTCTTTTTAATGGCTGAATAATATTCCATTGTATGGATATACCATATTTTGTTTATCCATTTATTTGCTGATGAACATTTGGGTTGTTTCCATCTTTTGGCTATTATAAATAATGCTGCCATGAGCATTCATGTAAAAGTTTTTGTGTGGACATACATTTTCATTTCTATTGGGAATATACCTAGGAGTGAAATTGCTGGGTCATATGGCAACTCCGTTTAACCCTTTGAGGAGCTGCCAAACTGTTCTCCAAAGCAACTGCACCATTTTACATTCTCATCAGCAATGTATGAGGGTTCTATTTCTCCAAATCCTCCTCAGCACTTGTTGTTATCTGACTTTTTGATTCTAGCCATCCCAGTGAGTATGAAGTGGTCACCCACTGTGGTTTTGATTTGCATTTCTCTGATGACTAATGATGTTGAGCATCTTTTCATGTGCTTATTGGCTATTTGTATAACTTATTTTTGAGAAATGTCTATTCAGATCCTTCGTGCACTTTAAAATCTAGTTATTTATCTTTCTGTTACTGAGTTATAAGAGTTCTTTATGTATTTCAGATACAAGTCCCTTATCAGATATATGATTTGCAAATACTTACTTCCATTTTTGAGTTGCCTTTTCACTCCCTTGATAGTCCTTTGATGTGCAAAAGTTTTTATTTAATTTCAATAAAGTCCAATTTATCTATTTTTTTCTTTCGTTGCCTGTGCTTTTGGTGTCATATCCAAGAAGTCATTGCCAACTCCAACATTATGAATGCTTTCCCTTATGTTGTCTTCTAAGAGTTTTATAGTTTTAGCTTTTTGTTCAAGTCTTAGATCCAACTTTGTGTATGGTGTGAGGTAAGGGTCCAAATTCATCCTTTTGTATGTGGATACAAAAGAAAACAGTTGGCCCAGCATTGTTTGTTGAATGTATTTTCATTGTTGTTGTATTTTCTCATTGACTGATCTTGGTAGCCTTGTTGAAACTTAGTTGTCCATAGATGTATGGGCTTATTTTTGTACTCTTAACTCTATTTCACTGATGCACATATCTATCCCTGTGCCAGTACCACACTGACTTAATTACTGTTGCTTCACAATAAGTTTTGAAATTGGGAAATGTGAGTCCTCTTACTTTATTTTTTTTTTCAAGATTGCTTGGGCTATTCAGGGTCTCTTGCAATTCTATATGAATTTTAGAATCATCTATCGCTTTCTAAAACAATGTCAGCTGGGATTCTGGGAGGCATTGTTTTGAATCTATAGATCAATGTGGGGAATATTATTATCTTAATGATGTCTTCCAACCCATGAAAATGGGGTTTAAAAAAATCTTTACTTAGCTTTTCTTTAATTTCTTTCAACAATGGTTTGTAGTTTTCAGAGTAAAAGTTTGTTGTTGCTGTTGTTGTTGTTGTTTTGGGGTTTTTTGTGTGTGTGCTTTTCTTGAGACAGAGTCTCACTCTGTCACCCAGGCTGGAGTGCAGTGGCACGATCTCGGCTCACTGAGACCTCCACCTCCTGGGTTCAAGCAATTCTCCCACCTCAGCCTCCTGAGTAGCCAGGATTACAGGTGCCTGCCACCATGCCAAGCTAATTTTTGTATTTTTAGTAGAGACAGGGTTTCACCATATTGGCCAGGTTGGTCTTGAACTACTGACCTCAAGTGATCCACCCACCTCAGCCTCCCAAAGTGCTGGCATTACAGGCATGAGCCTCTGTGCCTGGCCCAGATTATAAGTTTTGCAAAACTTATTCGTAAGTATTTTATTGTTTTGATGCTATTAGTAATGGAATTGTTTAAAATTCCAGTTTTGTATGGTTCATTCAAGTACATGGAAATAAAATTAAGTTTGTATATTGATCTTGCAGTTTGCAGCATTGCTGAACTTATTTATTAATTCTAACAGGTTGTTTAAGTGGATTCCTTAGTATTTTCTGTATACAAGATCATATCATCTGCAGATAGTTTTATTTTTCCTTTCTCATTTGGATGTTTTTTACTTGATTTTATTGCCTTACAGCCCTGACTAGAACCTCTAGTACAATGTTGAGTATAAGTGGTGAGAGTGGACATACTTGTTTTATTCCTGATCTTAGGGAGACAGCATTCAGTCTTTTACCATTAAGTATGATGCTACTATTGAGTTTTTAATAGGTGCCCTTTATCAGATTAAGGAAATTTCATTCTATTCCTAGTTTGTTGTGCACTTTTATTATAAAGGGGGTATTCCCTGGTTGATCTTAAGCCGTGCTAGAAGAGTATCAGATAGCCTCTGCCAACGGGATTGCTCCTCTCACTAAGTCAACAGCCTCCCACCTATTCTCTCTGCTAGTGGCAGTGTGAGTAAAGTAGGGATGCAGTAAACATTGAAAGAGCTCACTCAAGGAATGCAGTGATTATGGCCTAAAAAAAGATTCAAGAAAAGCCGTGGTTGGAAGGCATGTTGTTCTAGATTTATATTTATATTATAAAATCCCAAAGGGTATATTTAACAATCCAGAAAACAAGTGATCATTTCACATTTGACCGTATCCTCTGGATAAGACTTGAATTTGTGGTCATCATTAATGAAATTCAGTAATAACCACTGAGAGAGTCTTTAGAAGTCAGTATTCACAGGTGGCAAGATGATTTAATTAGCGCTAAATAAGTGATAGGAAGCCATAAAGGCAGAAGATCTATATTGTCTTGATACAAACAGGTTCTGAAGAGTAACAATAGCATCATTACTTTTTGTTATGTGGGAGATGTGAAATTAACCAGAAGCGGTGCATCTGATAATAAAGACAGAAAGAGATGGTAATTAGACTTGAACAAGAACAGTGCCTAGACACCACCAAGAAGCTTTACGTGCACTGACATAACAGTAAACAAATATGTAAGTACCACTTCCTTAGCCATTATTTCAAATCTTCATTAATAAAACATTACACTTCATATGAGTCCATGGATTTTGCAGTAGATATTTTAATCAAATTGTTTACACACTTAAGATCCTTGCAAAAACATATTTATCTGGGATCCTGCCACACTTTAAAGGTGGTCCTGGAGGCAGTACAGTCAACCTGATTTGGAGTAAGGGCTCCGGATTCAGAATACCTAGATTCCACATATTAAGTTATGTGACCTTAGGGAGGTTGTTTAATCTTTCTGCACCTCAGTTTCTATAGCTGTATAATGAAAATAATAAAAGTATAGTACTTCATAGTAGTGTGAAGTTTAAATGACTTATATATGTATGTAGTGTTTAGCATCTACCATTTTGTGTCTAAAAGTGATAGCAAACTGGGTGGGTGGCTCATGCCTGTAATACCAGCTACTCCAGAGGCTGAGGGAGGAGGATTGCTTGAGCCCAGGAGTTTGAGACAATAGTGAGCTATGATCACACCACTGTACTCCAGCCTGGGTAACAGAGGGAGACTCTATCCCCCCGCCAAAAAAATAGCAAAATATAGTATTGCCTTAGTCCATTTTGTGCTGCTATGACAAAATACCACAGACTAGGTGATTTATAATGAACAGAAATTTATTTCTTACAGTTCTGGAGGCTGGGAAGTCCAAGATCAAGGCACCAACAGTTTGGTGTCTGGTAAGGACCTGGTCTCTACTTCCAAGATGGTGCCTTGAGCACTGCATCTTCCAGAGTTGGGGAATGCTGTTTTTCACATGGCAGAGGAGAAGAGCCAAGAGAGTAACTGACTCCTGAAAGCCCTTTTTAAAAGGCATTAAACTCATCCAAAAGGGCAGAGTCCTCATGGGCAAATCACCTCCTAAAGGTCCACCTCTGTATACTATTACAAGGGCAATTAAATTTCAGGGAGTTTTGGAGGGAACAAACACTCTGGGGACTGTTGTGGGGTGGGGGGAGGGGGGAGGGATAGCATTGGGAGATATACCTAATGCTAGATGACGAGTAAGTGGGTACAGCGCACCAGCATGTCACATGTATACATATGTAACTAACCTGCACATTGTGCCCATGTACCCTAAAACTTAAAGTATAATAAAAAAAAAAAATAATAAATAAATAAATAAATTTTAAAAACCATAGTAAATACTATACCTCCCTTATAGTCCTTATTGGTAAGTTTCATGACAGTAAGGACAAAATGAGTTCTTGTTTGTATCCCCCACAAGATGAGATGAATTCTTTTTTACGGTATAGAAATTGAATTCATCTGGAAACACAAGGTATGCCAAATGTACATAAACTATAAATATATAAATAAAATAATTTAAATAAGGTCTTCAGCATTTCATTTGTACTTCTTCAGTTATTTCTTTATAATTAGCTATCAGTGGCTTAATTATTTTTGATATTCTTTGTGTTGCCCTCACTTTCTTCGAAGCACGTGGTCTGGTGTAATGCACATTAAAGCCTTCAGAACGGCTGGCTGTTTGAATAGTCTGAGGGATGAGGTTGCTGCAGCAAAAAGTGGGTTACACGACAGCCCAGCTTTCCTGCTGGAGATGGGAGACCAATACTCTCAGGAAACAGTGCACAGTCAGAGTTGGGTCATTTGGACATTCCGGAGGCCTGTGGAGTACTGCAGAGAGTGTCCGAATGCCAGCGTCGTGAGCCTGGAGGCCTAGGGTGGGCAGCTTGGCGAGAGAGCACGAGGGCGAAAGTCGCTGGAAGAGTCATTCTCACCCTTACGGGCAGGAGCGGAACAAAGTGTTAGCGGCCTCAGCCCTGCGCCCCCTCCGGGCGGACACTGTTCTTGCTGCAGTTGGCCGGCTGTTTCAGTCCCCGCGCCGCAGTCCAGGGCGCTCGTAGAGGGCGCCAACTGGCACCTGGGCCCACTACTCATCCGAGCCCATGGAACCCCACTTCCGCGTCCCCCCACCGTAAGCACGCCGGTGCCCCTAGCTGATTCGGGAGGCCAGTACCTCGGGGCGCGGGGGCGCGGGGCGGAACGCAGCGCGCGCCCACCTGCCGGCCAAGAAAGCCTCGCGTGGGCGCACGCGCCGCCGCCGCCCACGCGCCGCCGCCGCCGCCCACGCCTCAACTCGGCAGCTCAGCCAGCGCTGCATGCTGTCCGCCCTCAGCCCAGCAAGCCGGCCCTCGAGCTCCGCTGGGCAGCGCAGGGCCGGCAGTATAGAGTCCGCCGGCCCCGGACGGCCCCGGTAAGTGGGGACGGGGGCGGCGGGACCGGGCCGTCACCTGAGGGGCGGGTTTGTGGCCGTGGACAGTACTCCGGGGACTCTGAGGTGCTTGCGTGGGAGCTGCCTCCAAGGTGGCCCCCGTGTCACTGGATGAACCCCGAGTGACAGCTGCCTCTATTGGGGGGAGTCCCTGAGGTGCTGCGGGGAACCGCCGCCATGAAGACCCGCTGTGGGAATGGACTCCCGGGGTGCTCTCTGGATTTGCTGCCATGGGGAGTCCCCCTGTGGAGGGCACTGGCCCTTAGGGAGCCCTTCTGTGTCACTGTGGGAGCAGGCACAAAGGTGCTCTCGAGCTGGCTCAATGGAAGACCGCCTGGGAACATAGGGGAGCTGCAGGAGCCTCGTGATGGTGGAGCCCCCAGAGGGCCCCCTAGAAAAGGAGGACCTGAGACTGTGCCCTAGAACTGTGGGAAGCAACCTCTGACTGGGGAGGGGGATCCTCCCATGGGATCCATGAGTGACTTCCCACGGCTCCAAGGACTTTGGCCTTTATCTCCCTATAGGCCTACATGTGTCCTCACTTCTGACCACCGTGGCCCAGAGGTGGAGGCCTTGTAGGATCTCTTTCCATTCCCCTCTTTCCCTATTCGGATTTTTCTTCTCCATGGTAGCCCAGTTGCTCCAGGCTGCATTTTAGTGGAGGTAGAAACTGCTGCGAGAGCACAGGGCCCCAAGCGGGGGACGAGGACAAGTGAGGCCTCTAAAGGAAAGATAGGAGATTTGAGCCCCTGGGTTTGACCGTCCAGAAGGAAGCAGTAAGATCAAGTGGAATAACTGACTTTGGCAGGTCCTGGAACAAAAGACCTTTGAACGAAAGAATAAAGGATGTATAGGGTTGTTGAGCACCAGTGTGCTAGGCACTATACTAGGTATGTTTAAACATCTCATGTAACTCTTAACAACAGCTTTGTGAAATTATCCCCTTCTAAAATGAGATTTAGAAAGATTAAGCAATTTGACCAAGGTTACAAAGATTAAACTCATGAAATCTGTTTTTCACAGATTTTATTTGGAAAGAAATGTCAAGGAGAGGAAGAAGCAAGAATGTACTCTTGCTTAAGTTTAAGAGCTACTATGGTTTGAATGTGTCTCCCAAAGTTCATGTGTTGGAAACTTAATTCTCAATGCAACCGTGTTGAGAGGTGGGGCCTAATAGGTGATTAGGTCTTGAGAGCTCTGCCCTCATAAATTAATTGACATTATCTCTGGAATGGGTAAGTCATGGCAGGGGGTTTGTTATAAGAGCGAGTTTGGCTGTCTTGTTCTCCTGCTTTCTCACGTGCTCTCTTGCCCTTCCACCTTCTGCCATGAAATGATGCCACATGAAGGCCTTCACTGAAAGTGGACCCTCAATCTTGGGCTTCCCAGCCTCCAGAGATGTAAGATATAAATTTCTTGTTCTGTTATAGCAGCACAAAATAGACTAAGACAAGGCTAAAATGACAAGGCTAAATAGCCTAAGACAAGGCTAAATAGACTAAGACAAGGCTAAAATCTCTTAGAAGGAAACAGGAGAAAATATTTATCGCCTTGGATTTGGCAATAATTTCTTAGATTTTGATACCAAAAGCATGAGTAACAAAAGAAAAAACAGATAAAATATCAATATCTTAAAAATTCTATGCATAAAAGAATACCATAAAGAAAGTGAAAAGACAGCCCATGGAATAGGAGAAAATAGTTGCAAATCATATATCTGATAAAGGATTAATATCCAGTATATATAAAGAACCCTACAACTCAACAAGAAAGAAACAACTTTATTTAGAAATGGGAAAATGATGTGAATAGACATTTCTCCAAAGAAGATATGCAAACGACCAATACGCACATTAAAAACATGCTCTACATCATTAGTCGTTAGGAAAATACAAATCAAAACTACAGTGAAGCTGGATGCAGTGACATGTGCTTGTAATCCCAGCTACTTGGCGGTGGCTGAGGCAGGAGGATTACTTGAGCCTAGGACTTTGAGATCAGCCTGGGCAACACAGGAGACCCAGCCCCAATTAAAACAGACAAAACAAACACATACGTACACAATGAGATATTACCTCATACCCAGTAGGATGGCTATTTAAAAAAAAGGAAAATAATGTGTGGTGAGAATGTGGAGAAATTGGAACCCTGGTGCATTGCTGGTGGAAATGTAAAATGGTGCAGCTGCTGTGGAAAACATTTCGTGGTTCTTCAAAAAGTTAAAAAGAATCTCTATATGACCTGGCAATTCTGCTATATACTGATGTGTATATTTAAGAGAAATGAAATGTGGTATGGAAACCATCTCAATTCCAAAATTTAGTAGCTCTTCCCTGATGTCAAAGAAATCATCTATATTTATTGTATTGGTTACATACCATCATCCCTGCTAAACCCAACTCACCATTCAGGTTCTGTCTCTGAGGAAGCAGACTGGATATGATGAGCTTGTGACTCCATAGTTTCTAGAAACAAGTTCTGAAGATTTGGTCTCCTCAGCCCTGTCTGGCCCACTTTGACCTAAAGAAAGGGTGCTGACGCTGTGATCTCAAATAAACCCTTTGCTTTCCCCAGTCATCTTTACAGCATTTATTCAGTGACTCGTGAACACTTGCACTTCGTAAAGCAGTGGGAACTATCCCGATTGTTCCTTCCTCCTGAGATCAAAGAAAATTGAGACTTCCTTTTTCTGTGAAACCCACTGATTTTTAGTGTTTCCTTGCTTCCATTTTCAGAAGTTTCTTTTGCTTTAGTCCTCTTGCCCCATCCCCCACCTGACATTTTCCTCAAGATCACTGTTACGTTTTTAAAGCCTTTTATAAAAATCTGCCACTCACATATAAGAAGCCAGTGAAAGCACATAAAGATACTTTACAGTTAACATGCAGGATGAGGTGGTTCCTTCCTGCCTAGGGCTTCAGATTCTCCACAGCTTTGTAGATTTCTTTATAGGATGAGCTGAGGGTGATGATTTCCCAGATGCCTTTTTCTTCCCCATTTCTTCCTTAGCTCATGCTATGGAGCAGTCATATCTTCCTCCTACCTCTGCTTGCCTTTATAAATAGTCTCACTGCACATTAAGCAGGTGCTGTTCAAATTCCATGCTACCCACATATGCATTGCTACCTGACAAACACTTCTGTTTCAATCATGGCTACAGCGTTATATTGGTTTTCTATTATTATGTAACAAATGACCTGAAATGTGGTATCTTAAAACAACATACAATTTGTTATCTCACAGTTTCTGCGGGTCAGGAGTCCAGCTTGATCCTTGCTTGTGGTCTCATAGGCTGCAGTTAAGGTGTTGTCTGGGCAGCATTCTCATTTGGAGGCTTGACTGGGGAAGAATCTTCTTCCAAGCTCACTCAGATTGTTGGCAGAATTCATTTCTTTGCAGTTTTAGGATTGAAGACCTTGGCTTCTTGCTGGATGTCAACTGGAGGTTACTCTCAGTATCTAAAGTCCACCTGCAGTTCTTTGCCATGTGGGCCTTCCCAACATGGCCACTTCATTAAGCCAGAGCAAGTGTGCTAGAAGATGAAGTTATATAATGCAATGTCTTCATGGGAGTGACTTCTGCTCACCTTTGCCATGTTCTGTTAATTAGAATCAAGTCACATATCCACCCACAGACTCAAGAAGATGGGATTACACAAAGCATGAACACCAGGAGGTGGGATCATGAGGGGCCATGTTAGAGACCGTCCCCACCAACAATAGCAAGAAGAGGTTTAGGTTCACCATTTACTCTCATTTCATTCAGCCAGATAGGTCTATTCTATTTTCTTGTCCCATTGTTGTTTAGCACCACCTTTGATTTTGCCCAGAAGTTTTTTCCAAACCCTTCTCAAGTTACCACAGATTCTTTGACATTCATACTGTTCCTGTGATTATGTTTTCTATCTCTCTTTTCTTCCTTAATAAGGAAACAGGAAACCTCAATTCCACCTACCAGCTAAAGAAGTAATCATTAAGCATAATTTGTGGGGGTCTTTGTTAATTGATTTCCTTTTTAACCCAAGTGTCTTTCCTAGGACTTCTACTAGCACAAGGAAAGCCAATTTTCTGTTTTGTTTTGTCTTGTTTTTTCTTACTAGCCATTTATTTTTACCTATCACTAATCACCGTTGAGAGAGGCAACCTGTCCTGGGCCATACTAGGGATGCCAAGAATGCAAGGTTCTGACTGTTTCTTGTCCATTTCTCAGCGTTATATTTACAACAAGCAACTTTTAGGGTTAAGGTAATGTCTACTCATGAACAAAGATCAGGCTTGTTTCTTCTTACTGTAAAAGCAGTGAGTCCCCAAAGTTCAGTGTTTCTCTACTGTAATGCAGCCCACTGCATGTGCAGGCATCTATCATAGATGCTGTGCCAGTCTCATGGGACTTAGGAGACAAGGGGAACTGATGCAAAAAAAAACATGATGAGGCTTTTGCTGTGGCTGTACTGTGAGTAATAAAGTCCTTTATCTCTGACTTGGGAGTCTTGGATCTTCTGCCAGCATTCATGAAACAGTAGTAGGATAGTTTGTTAACTTGCAAATAAAATCGCAGATCCTGTACAATTCTTTTGTTTTTTGACGGAGTCCCACTCTTGTCACCCAGGCTGGAGTACAGTGGCACGATATCGTCTCACTGCAACCTCTGCCTCCCGGGTTCAAGTGATTCTCCTACCTCAGCCTCCTGAGTAGCTGGGATTATAGGCGCCCGCCACCATGGCCAGCTAATTTTTGTACTTTTAGTAGAGACAGGGTTTCGCCATGTTGGCCAGGCTAGTCTCGAACTCCCGACCTCAGGTGATCTGCCCACCCAAAGTGCTGGGATTATAGGCTTGAGCCACCGCGCTTGGCACAATTCTTGACAATCACTACCATTTGTTTTTCTAGAAGCTAAAGCTGATTTTGTTAATTTCTCAAGCACTGCAGCTGCATATCTTGAATACTGGAGCAACATCTCTTTTAATCAAAGTGTCCAAAAGTTTGATACTCACCTCAGTTAAGCATCAAGGGCATTAGCCTAATTGGTTGCTTCCGCACAATTTCCTCCCAAAACTAAAGCTATGTCACCTTAAAAATGACTTGGTTAATCTGTGTTGTTATTATTTGGATTTGGACTTTGTTTTCCTTTAAGAATTCTTTTTTTGTTTGTTTGTTTGTTTTTGAAATGTAGTCTCGCTCTGTCACCCAGGCTGGAGTGCAGTGGCGCTATCTTGGCTCACTGCGAGCTCCGCCTCCTGGGTTCACACCATTCTCCTGCCTCAGCCTCCCGAGTAGCTGGGACTACAGGCGCCCGCCACCACGCCCAGCTAATTTTTTGTATTTTTAGTGGAGACAGGGTTTCACCGTGTTAGCCAGGATGGTCTCTATCTCCTCACCTTGTGATCCACCTGCCTTGGCGTCCCCAAGTGCTGGGATTACAGGCGTGAGCTACCATGCCTGGCCCCCTTCCTTTAATAATTCTACTCAATGGATTTCTGCCCTCACAGATCCCATGGTCAGGGCTGGAAAACATTTTGGGGTTTCTGTGTGTATTTGTTTTAAATATGCATAGCCTTGATATTCCTCCAGTGAGCAGGTCTAAAAAAAGTGAATTTAGTATGTTTCCATACTAATTTGAAGACTTCCAGGACTACAAATCAATATTTTAAGACTTTTTAGGCCATGCCCTCTTTCTGATGAATATAGCAGTCTCATGGATGCTTCTCCTCCTAAATTCTGATGCTCCTCAGGGGACAGGTTTGCTCCACTATTTGATGAACTAGAGCTGTCTGCATATTCCTAGGAAGCAGATAGCTAAGATGTTGAGTTTTGCCTTTCATAGTCTGCATGACATAAAAAATGAGGGGGTTTAAATGTTTTTTCAAATATAAATATTATAACTGATAAGCTTTTTTATTTTTTATTTTATTTTATTTTATTTTTATTTTTTTATTATACTTTAAGTTTTAGGGTAAACTTTTGCAATTCACTCATTTCTCCATCTTCCCACTGGAACTTCTGCATACACCATCCTGTGCTGAAAATACAGCTGATCCAGTTTGCAAATGGAGTCACTGATGAGTCACTGTGTTCTCACTGGATTAAAGCAGTGTTGTTTTCTTTTCTTATTCATAGCATGAATATATTACAATTTATCAAATAATTCCTTTTTTGAGGTTGTTCTACCTATTTACTGCTATAAGCAGTGCTGCAATCAACATTCTTTTTACGTATCCCCACAGATCAAAGAGGATCAGTGTCAGTCCATTTAGGCTGCTATAACAAAATGCCACAATCAGGTAGCTTATAAACAATAGAAATGTATTTCTTATAGTGTAGGAAGCTAGGAATTCCAAGATCAAGATGCTGGCAGATTTGGTATCTGGTGAGGGCCTGCTTTTTGGTTTATAGATAGTGCCTTCTCGCTGTGTCCTCCCATGGTGAAAGGGGTGAGGCAGTTCTCTGGGGACTCTTTTATAAGGGCACCAATCCCATTCATGAGGGCTGAGCCTCCCAAAGTCTCCACCTCCTAACACCATCACATTGGTTATAAAGTTTCAATATAATGGATTTTGGAGAGACACATTCAGACCATAGCAATAAGTTTCTTGCATGGAGTAGACGTTTCTTCTTCAGTCAAAGTCATATTAGTAACTATCCATCGCTAGACCTCCCAACCACACAGACTCTCAGGACAAGTTTGAGCAATTTGTTCTTGTACCACTCCAGTCAAAGGCAAAACTTAACCTCATACCTCACATGTTGCCCTTGTCTCTTAGAGGTGATCATTTTCAAATCAAAAGAAAAAGTGGTAGTTCTTTAATTAAAACTTTAAAATGATCCTCTCAGGTTGTGTATAGATCCAATAATAGATCATGAAATCATTTTAGAAAGTCATTATTAGGATTGTTTAAATCAACTAGGACAGATAATATTTTTGTGTTGAGAACACTCTAAATATTTTCTTCTAGCTATTTTGAAATATAAATTATTTTTAACTAAGTGATTTTAATTATATTTCCTCAATGACTAATAATGCAGAGGCTCTTTATATGTTTGTTTGACCATTTCTTTTTATCATTTGTATTATTAATTTTCTTTTCAGAGACAGGGTCTTACTTTGTTTCCCAGGCTGGAGTGTAGTGGCACAATCATAGCTCACTGCAGCCTCAAACTCCTGGGGTCAAGCCATCTTCCTGTCGCAGTCTCCCAAGTAGCTGGGACTACAGGTGCACATCACTGTGCCCAGCTAATTTTTTTATTTTTTGTAGAGACAGGGTCTCACTATGTTGCCCAGGCTGGTCTCAAACTCTTGGCCTCAAACGATCCTCCTGCTTTCACCTCCCAAAGTCCTGGGGACAATCTCTTATATCTTCTTTTTGTGGGAGTTGTTTGTTTTTTTAAATTACTTAATGAGTTTTGAGAGGTCTTTATATATTCTGAATACAAGTTCTTTATCAGACACGTGATTTGCAAATATTTTCTACCAGAGCGTGGCTTGTCCTTTCATTCTCTCAACCATGTCTTTTAAAGAACAGAAGTTCTTAATTCTGATGAGGTAGAATTTATCAATTTTTTTCTTTTATGGATCATTTTGTTATTGGACTAGTAATTTTGTGTATGGAACAAGATATAGGATTGAAGTTCTTTTTAAAAGTGAGAATATGCAATTGTTCTAGTACTATCTATTGAAGACTATTGTTGAAAATCAATTGGCCATATATGTAGGAATCTATTTCTGAAATCTCTATTCTGTTTCATAGATCTGTGTTTTGAGTCTTTATTCCAATACCACACTGGTGCTATTCTAAATGATACTCAAAATTTTTTTCAAATTGTTCATTGATAATACATAGATATATGACTGATTATTGCATATTTACTTTATATTTTGTGACCTTACTAAACTCACTAGTTCTGCTATCTTTTTATCTGTGAGACTGTCTACAGAGACAATAATGTTGCTTGTGAATAGGGGCACTATTTGTTCCTTTGCAATCTTGTATCTCTTATTTCTTTATCTTGTTTTATTGCATTGGCTAACTTGAGTATTATGTTGAAAAGGAGTGGTGAGAGTGGGCTTCCTTGCATTGTTCCTGATAGTAGGGGAAAGTGTTCAATCTTTTACCACTGAATATGATATTAGCTGTAGGACTTCTGTAGATGCCCTTTATCATGTTGAGGAAGTTCTCATCTATCCTGGTTTTCTGAGTGTTTTTGTCATGAACAATCTTGGATTTTGTCAAATGTATTTTCTGCATCTATTGAGTTGATCATACTGTTTTTTCGTCTTTAACCTATTGATGTTGCAGATTACATTAACTGATTTTCAAATGTTTAACCAGCCTTGCATTCCCATGGCGTACCCCCACTTAGTCATGAAAATTTGTATTTTTTTATATATTGTTCAATTTGTTTGCTAAATTTTTCTTAAGAAGTTAGTGTCTTTGATTACGAAGGGTACTTGCTATATTTTTCTTGTAATTTGCCTCTTTTAGCATTAAAACAGTACTCACTTTGCCCAGGCACACTGGCTCATTTCTGTAATCTCAGCACTTTGGGAGGCTGAGGCAGGAGGATCACTTGAAGCCAGGAGTTCAAGATCAGCCTGTGAGACCCCGTCTATATAATTTTTTTTAAAAAATAGTGCTCACCTCAGAATGAGTTGGCAAGTACTATCTTGTCTTCAGTTTTATGGAAGATTTTGTGGAGATTTGGTAGGTAGTAGTCTTCCTTCAGTGTTTAATAGAATACTGGTAAGACCATCTGGGTCTAAAATTTTCTTCATGTGAAAGCTTTTAATGACAGTTTCAAGTTTTGTATTAGATGTAGGGCTATTCAGGTTATCTGTTTCTTCTGGAGTGAACTTTTATAGTTTATATCTTTTAATTAAATTTTATTTAATCTGTTAAATTTGTTGGCATAAAGTTATTCATAATATTCCTTTTCTCATTGTAATACCTGTAGACTGTTTTATAATACTCCTCAATTCCTGATATTGGTAATTTGTGTCTTCTCTCTTTTTTACTGGATCAATCTGACTAGTTTTGTCATTTGTTCTCAAAGAATCAGTTTCTGATTTCATTAAGATTCTATATTGTTTTTCTGTTTTCTATAGTATTGATTTCTGCTATCTTTATTGTTTCCTTCTGCTTTCTTTGTGTTTAATTGACTTTGCTTTTCCTAGTTTATTAAGGTGGAATCTTAATTTATTTGAGATTTTTCTATTTCTTTAATATCGGTATTTATTGCTATAAATTTCCCTTTAAATTTGTATTTATAAAATTTGTTTATAAATTTAACTGCTTTAGCTACATACCGCAATTTTTGATACATTACATTTTCAATTTCCATTAGTTCAGAATATTTTTAATTCTCCTTTTGAGTGTTTGCTTTATCCATGAGATATTTAGAAGTATGTTATTTAGTTTCCAAATATTTGAGGATTTTCCAGATATCTTTCTGCCACTGATTTCTAACTTAATTCTATTGTATTTAGAGAACATACTCTGTATAATGGAAAACTTCTAAATTTATTCAGTCTTATTTTATGGCCCAGAATGTGGTATATGATGCTAACTGTTCTGTGTGTTTTTGAAAAGAATGTGTACTTTGCTGTTGTTGGATGAAATCATCTACAAATGTTAATTATGTCAAGTTGCTTCCAAGTATTGTTCAAATCTTCTGTAAGCTACTGATCTGTGTATTTATTTTCCCAATTATTGTGAGAGGGGCTGGAAATCTTCAATTTTAATTGTGGATTCATCCTTGCAATTCTATCAGGTTTTGTTTCCTGTACTTTGATGCTGTGCTACTAGATGTTTAAACATTAGGATTTTTATATCCTTTTGATGAGTTGAACCTGTTACCATTCTGAAATGATCGTTAATCTGGTAGTATTCCTTGCTATAAAATCTATTTTGACTAATATTAATATAGCCACTCCACCTTTCTTCTGAATAATATTAGCATTATATAAATATAAATATATATAAATGTATATATTATATATATCCACACATAACATTTTAAACTTACTTGTGTCTTTATATTTAAAATGGGTTTCTTTTTTTAAAAAAACTCTTATTTTAGGTTAAGGGGGTACATGTGCAGGATTGTTATATAGGTAAATTGTGTGAACACAGGAGTTTGTTATGCAGAGTATTTCATCACCCAGGTAATAAACGTAGTACTGATAGGTAGTTTTTCGATCCTCACCCTCCTTCCACCCTCCACCCTCAAGTAGGCCCCAGTATTTGTTGTTTCCTTCTTTGTGTCCATGTGTACTCAATGTTTAGCTTCCCACTTATAAGTGAGAACATGTGGTGTTTGGTTTTCTGTTCCTGTGTTTATTTGCTGAGAATAACGGCTTCCAGCTCCTCCATGTCCCTGCAAAGGACATGATCTTATTCTTTTTTATGGCTGCGTAGTATTCCATGGCATATATGTACCACATTTTCTTTATCCAGTCTATTATTGATGGGTATTTAGGTTGATTCCATGTCTTTGCTATTGTGAATACTACTGTGATTAATATTTGTGTGCATGTGTCTTTATGGTAGGATGATTTATATTCCTTTGGGTATATACCCAATAACGGGATTGCTGGGTTGAATGGTACTTCTGTTTTAAGTTCTATGAGAAATTGCCAAACTGCTTTCCACATGGCTCAACTAATTTACATTTCTATCAGCAGCGTGTAAGTATTCCTTTTTCTCCACAATCTTGCAGCATCTGTTATTTTTTGACTTTTTAATAATAGCCATTCTGACTGGTGTGAAAGGGAATCTCATTGTGGTTTTGATTTGCATTTCTCTAATGATCAGTGCTGTTGAGCATGTTTTCATATGTTTGTTGGACACTCGTATGTCTTCTTTTGAAAAGTGTCTGTTCATGTCCTTTGCCCATAAAGTGGGCTTCTTGAAGGCAGCATGTTGTTGGGTCTTACTTAAAAAAAAATCCTGTATCACAAGCTTTGCCTCTTATTAGGATTTTTAGAACATTTACATTTAAGGTAATTAATGATATGATTGTGTTTAAATCTACCATCTTGCCATTTACTATTTGTCCCACATATTCTTTGCTTCCTTTTTCTTTTTATGATTTAAAACATTTTATTTATTTCTTTCTCCTTTGTTGTTGTTACTCATCTTTTTGGTTTATGACGTTTATTTCTATAATGGTTGTTTTAGGGCATATACTTCTTTATCTTTGTGATGATTTTGTAATGTGTCATTTTGGACGAGTTGAACTGAATTTCTCAGGGTTCCCTTTCCTTTATGTTTATGGTTATGATGGGTCACAGGACAGATTTTTATAGGGGCTTGGAAAGCAGAAGTGAGGTAGCAGCTATTTTGTAGTATATGTACGTCTCCTATTTACTGGCTCAACTTGCTGGTGGGTGGCAGTGGGTGGGTCTGCAAGTGCCCCATCTTTCCCTGGATCCTCCATCAGGCTCTCTAACGCCTGAGCCAAGTGCCTGTGTGTAGCTTCCTGCTGAAGAGTCTTGATCTCTGCAGGACACTCACACCACTAAGATCAGTGACAGCAGAACTGACATGAATTTTGCTCCATCATCATGAGACCCAGCTCATGCTTGCTTGGTCCTTCCTAGTCTTATCTCTCATTTTATATCCACCTTTACTCCTGATTCCCACCTTATGGATTTCAATCTCTAGTATCAGAGGTAAAGACAGTAGTATCTAAGATTTCTTAACCAGCTCTCATACTCAATAAGGCCAAATCCCTTCAATAAACCCATATTAATATATACTTAAACTTTTATTTGTATAAAATATCTCCTAGTGGTTATGCTTCCTTAATTAAATTCTAACTGATACAATCTTCAAGTAGTATTATTCCACTTATAGCCTAAAAACATTAGTTTCTTTTCTACTTCTGTATCTCCTGGCATTTGTGCTATTGTCATTCATTTTATGTCTATTTTTTCTAAACGTAACCTGACATTATCATTATTTTTCATTTAATTATTTTTAAAATCCATTATCTTTTAGAGTGACTAAAAATTAAGAAAAGAGATCTTACATTTACCGACATAGTTATCATTTCTGCTCTTCATTTCTTGGTGTATATCCAGATTACTGTATGGTAATATTTGCCTTCTGCCTGAAGGACTTTCTATAAAATTTCTTTTCATAAAGTTCTGTTGATGATGAATTGTTTCAGCCATTATATCTCTGAAAAAGTCTTTTATTTCACCTTTGTCTTTTTAAAATAGAGATAGAATTCACATACTATAAAATTCATATTTTAAAGTTCACAATTCATTGGTTTTTAGAATATTCAGTTATGAAACTATCATGACTAATTTCAGAGTATCTTCATACCTCCAAAAAGAGATTCTATACCCATTAGCAGTCATTTCTCATTCCGTACTTCCAAGAAAGGCAGGATGTCATGAGCTTAGTGTGTATATGTGGTAGGGTTGTTATGTGCGTGATTCCAGAATAATATATTGCAATGGATGACAGTTTCCAAAACTTGGAGGCCCGTCAGAATCACTTGTGGACCTTGTTTAAAAAACAGAATTAGAGGCATTACATCAGTTCCTAAATAGGATATCATCAGAGTACAGCCAAAGAATCTTTGTTTTTACCAGGTTATCCAGGATTCTGCTGTGCAGGTAGCCCAGCATTTGGTGAGGTGCAGCCAGAAGAGCCATGTGGATCTATTCTGCTCCTCATTCGTACTTCATCTGGGCACAGACGCAGTAGGAAGCAAAAAAAAAGATTGTCCGGCCGGGCGCGGTGGCTCACGCCTGTAGTCCCAGCACTTTGGGAGGCCGAGGCGGGTGGATCATGAGGTCAGGAGATCGAGACCATCCTGGCTAACAAGGTGAAACCCCGTCTCTACTAAAAATACAAAAAATTAGCCGGGCGCGGTGGCGGGCGCCTGTAGTCCCAGCTACTGGGGAGGCTGAGGCAGGAGAATGGCGTGAACCCGGGAAGCGGAGCTTGCAGTGAGCCGAGATTGCGCCACTGCAGTCCGCAGTCCGGCCTGGGCGACATAGCGAGACTCCGTCTCAAAAAAAAAAAAAAAAAAAAAAAAAAAAGATTGTCCGAAGAAGCTGGAGTGGTGCTCACCTAGGGAAGGGACTTTCCAGCCTGGCACTGCCTCTGAGAAAGCTAGGGGGAACATGGCAGGGAAGAGGAAGGGGCTGTGCTTCTTCCTCTCCTAGAATCCCAGTTTCCCTATCTCACTCAAAACATCCTGTTGTCCCTTTGCCCTTGGTCATGCCATCCAGGAGGCCATTTGTTAGTGTCAGATGGTGTCCACAGCACCTTCGGGTCCCATCCTTGCCTACCTTTTCTAGATTCAGGAAGCTCTTTCTAGTATAGACTCTAAGCCCCTACCTGTCACCTAGAGCCTTCAGTGGTTGAGCAGCCTCAGAGAGATGTTCCATCCTGGAGACGTTGGGGCCTCCCTGCTTGGTCCTGTGGCTTAGAAAAAAGTTAGGAGCCCAAAGGAAAGGGGGGAAGCTTTGCTGGAGGTGGAAACCTGGCTGGATGAAAAACTAGGTCAGAAAACAGCTGCCCTGAGAGCAAGAATGGGATAGTGAGTCTCTGCCCACACTCTGGTCTGTGGGCGAACCTGGAAGCTTGAGAGGGAGGCACTGAGGCAGCCGAGAAGAGACTGAGCCACACATGACTTCAGCCCTACCTGTGATGATGAATTCAGATCTAACACTCTATCACCAGACTGAGATCCTGGAAGGTGAGAGGAACTGTGCTTATTCACATCTACCTCAGCCACAGTGTTAGCAGGCCCACTACCTCTCTAGGACAGGCACCTGGGCCAGTTCTGGAGTAGACGTCCTAGGTTTGGGTGTTGCAAGAGTCTGGAAATCCCCACATTGGAAAGGACCACACTCCCTTCACCCTCAGGGCCTGTTTGCTCTCGCCTGGTAGAGTTTCCAGGGCAGGAGATGCTCCCAGCTTGGCAGGTAAGAGCCACAGAGGGGTACGGTGGGAATTTCAGCTCAAGGGCTGGGCTAGTTCTGCAACAGAATTTGGAGTGGGCTGGGCCCTATAGGCCTGTATATCCGACAAGGGTCACAGAGTCTGGGGGCATGGCTGTTCCTGGGTTCCCAGGTGAGCATTGAGTCTTCCCAAACAAGATGCCCCATGGACTGTGCAGCTGTTATTGAAAGATCTCCTGAGCTCCTGGGGAAATATATGACACATATGTGTGCAAAATGTGTGTGCCTAGCATAGATGTATGTATTCCTCAATGTATAGCTACCTAGGGTTACAGTTAGAGTTAGAATTATGCTTAGAACAGCATTGATGTTATGGTTCCAGTTTGGAGTGAGGTAGTGGTAAGGATAGGGTGGGAATCATGGTGATATTAAAGTAGGGTTTGGAACTAGGTTTGTGGTTCCTGTTGATAGAAGTTGGTGTATCTTAGATGAGGAAGGTGTTAGGGTTGGAGTAAGGCACTGCTGGCATTTAGAATTTAGACAAAGAGATAAATTTTGTGTTGGAGGCTGATTTTAAGCTTTCAAGATAGTGTGGAGAGGGACTTAGGCTTATGCATAACATGTGTTAATCTTGTATAGATGACAGGTTGTTTGCTGTTTCTGGGTCCTCCACAGTTCATGGGTACAGAGTGGTCACTATAGCTGTGGTCCAGCTAGGGAAGGTAGGCATTAAGCTGCTGGGGAGAGGGCGGATCAGTTTTCTATCTCAAACTTATTTGGCCATGTAAACATTTTGGATCACAGTCACTAGTATTACCTGTCTGAGGTACAGTTGTTCCTTCTTATTTGAAAAACTATGGTTTAGAGGTTTCTTTGGAAATGGGGTTGGAGTTGGGTTTAGAGGTGTGGTCGATAGGGGTGGGATTGTGGTTAACATAAAGTTTAGGCTAGAGCTACATATGAGATCATGTCTTGTGTAAGGGTTTTCTAACTGGGGAACCAGGACCTGGTTCTTCATGGTTTCCCGAGGATAACGTGGACTAAGTGTGTCTACGTGGTTTGTTCTTCCCTTGTGTCTGCTATGTCAAAGAGTCTGAGAGTCAGGACCCTTCAAGGATGGAGCCAGCAGTAAATTGGGGGCCCTCAGGGTGATGGGTGTATAGGCGAAGGATGAGGCTGCTGAAGAGGACTCTCTTCCTGACCCTGACGTTCTTTAAGAGCACACAGCCACATTGTTGAGACCAGAGGTATGCATGTGAAACCAAAACTATCCTATTAAAGGACAAGCAATGGGACAGAAATGACAAACCAAAGTTTAAAGGAGAGATGAGCCTGGTCTGAGGTAGCCTAGAGGATTTATGGAGGAGAGGGTCTTTGCAGGATGGATTTGGACTGCATTTGTGTCTGTGGGTCTGTAAGATGGGCTGTCTGTTCTGTGTGCAAACTTGTCAACTTGTCTTTGTGTCTGTGCATTTTTGACTGTTTGCTCGAGCATGTCTGATGCAGGGTGTTCATGAGTCCTTGAACACCCAAGGACTCATGAACACCCAAATCCAAGTTCATGAGTCCAAGAACACCCAAGTCATGTCCAAGGAAGACATAAGTGTGTTTTTCTTGACATGTTTGTGCTTACTCTGAACTCTTAGGTTGGTGCAAAAGTAATTGTGGTTTTTGCCATTATGGCAAAACCATATGTGTGTAATTCTGCCCTGGCCCCTCACCGTATCTTCCCCCTCTGCCCTGATACACCCTAGCTGCTAGCACAATTTACTGCAAGGAGGGCTTCCCTTCCCACCGTCTGGATTCCCATGGGTCAGTCTGCCTGCCCAGGGACCCGCCCCTGTGGCCTTTGTAGTAGGCCTGACCTTGGAATTGATACACTCTGGAAATCCCCTAGTATGCTACTTGCCTGGCTGTGGACCAGGCAAGAACACGAGAGAAGTTTATAGAGGAGGAGAGGGACAAGGCAGGAAAGGGGGGTAGTTGGCAGCACCCACCCCTCCTTCTGGAAACTGGATCTCACTGGCCTCTTCCCAGGCCCCCCTCTCCCTCCCCATGCTCTCCCAGGGTCCTGGCCTCACTGTCTCCGGGCATGAGAATGCACAGACCTCTGTAAGCCTGGTCAGCCCTGTGAGGCATCTGGTCCTTTGTGTCCCTAAGCACTTTACATGCCTGGATTGTGCTTATCTGTCATATTGCCACCTGAGCTCAAGGAAGTCCTCCCTTCTCCTCTGTCCCTGCAGTGGACACAGAGGCCATTCTGGCCCTTCCATCTATGGCAGGCCTGGCCTAGACCATGGGCTCCAGAGGCCAGGTAGAGCATTCGGCCCTGGTTGTCTGGTTAAGCAGCAGAGGCCCAGCCACCTCCCACATGGTGCAGGAAGCAGTGTCTCCATGGAGTCTATTCCTGTGTTCATCCTGTGTCCCTTGCCCTCCCTGCCTGGGCTGCAGTGAGCAGGTATAGAAGTGAAGCAGTCACAGTCCCTGCCCTCAACAACTCAGCGTTGAACACAAGTGATGTTGTGGAGAAGCCACCCTCCTCCCACTGCTGGTGGTCGGTTTCCTGAAATTCCCTCCAGCCAATTCCGAAGTGCCCTTCTGGAAAGCCCAAGAGAAGAGCTCTAGAAGGTTGGGGCCATTCACCATGACATGTTGTTACCTGAGTGTGCCAGAGGTGAACCCAAAGATCCCAAGCAAGCACTGATGTATTCCTAGCATCTACCCCCAAACCTGAAGTAGTAAATTCTTGAGTTTATACCCTTCATGTGACTTTTGCTTCTTGCCTCTCTTCACCCTGGGGAAGATAGAACATGGATTTATGCAGGGATTATGGGATGAGCAAGGCTTCATCCACCATCAGCATTCCACATAAGTCATAGGCTATGACCCCTATTTCTCTTAGCTCTTGACTTTGCCAAGAACTCAGAATCCTGAAGCTATCAGTTTCAGCTCATTTCTCTGCCCCTGGGACTTCTGTCAGCAGCATGAGCCCATGCTGGCCTCAAGCAGGTAGGAGCCTGCAGGGAACCATGGGAAGGACCTGCTCCACCCTAAACCAGGATGTGTGCATGCTAACCCCTGGCTCCCTACCTGATGCTGCTGTGACCCTCCTGAGTCAATTCCCTTCATTCTGGGCTTCCCTCTATTCTCCTAGCTGTGTGGCTGCCTGCCCCACTCCCACCAGGCAGGGAGGATGTGCCTGTCACAAGACCTCCTTTGATCTTTGGGGATGCTTTAGAAAAACACCTGTTGAGTGTTGGTTCAGCAGGCCTGAACCTTGTGCTTCTCCATCCTGGAGACCATCCATGGGGTGGGCCCCCAACCCTTAGGCACAGAATCAGCATTCAGAGCAGGGACATATCCATGTTTCTTCCCATCCTGCCTCTTCTGTATCCAAGCAGTGGACACATTGTGCTAAATGCTGGGGTCCCATCAGAGGAAGCAAGTACTGCCACCTCCTCCTCATGATGGGATGGTGAGTGATCCTGGGTTTCCTTAGGAACCAGGGGCATCCCACTGTCCCTCAAAACATGTCATAAAGAAGTCACAGTACTTCTTGGCCTTTCTGTAGCTCTTGGCTCCTCTGTGGTAGGTCAGAAGGGGAATGCAGAGGTGCCATCTCCTGAGGGATAATAGCTGTCCAAAATCGATGTCCCTCCCATCTTCTCAGGGCAGCCTATTTATCTTCCTGCTTCCCTGTCCTCTCCTCCCACCCATATAACCTCCTTGGTCCCTCATCTCACTGAGCACTGGGATGCCACCCTTGCCCTATTTCTCTATCTCCAGCCCCATGCTGTTGCTCAGGTTCCATGCATTTAGAGCTTTTTCTGTGATCTCTCCTGCTGATACAGTCTTCCAAGAGCACCTGCTGCACAGATATCAGCAGCAACTTTTAACCACCTTTCCCTGCCCACCTACACACTCACACTGCCACCAACTGCTTGGGCCCTAATAAAAAGTTTCCGTAGTAACTTCCAGAATCCCTCTCTACCTCCTGCTTTCTAGCTTTGCCTCTGCATACCATTCCCCCTTCCCACAGCCACGGCCCCTCCCAGCTCCCCACTTGTCCCTCTGGGTCTCTGCCCACACTCTCTTATATGTAAAAGAAACCTTTTTCTTCCCTTATCCACAAAGTCCCCTCTCATTAACGATGCCTTCTATCTACCACCAGTGTCTGTACTTTTAGCCAAAGCCAGCCCCTTGACTTGGGAATTCACTTCTATTCTGTGTCCTCTACAACAGGGCATTGCTCCAGTAGTTCTTCCCTCTTTTCCTCATCAGTTTATCCCTCTCAACTGAATCTTTCCCGTCAACATCCGGCGTGCTATGTATCTCATATTTTTCAAAAACCCTCTCTGAATCCCATGTTCTCTTTCTGCTATTTCCTCATTTTTCTGCACCTCTCTGGAACAAACCTCCTTGAATACGTGATTATACTTGCTATCACCAATTGCTCTCCTTCTGTTGTATCTTGAATCCACTCCCATCACACCTTCATCACTCATCTAAATCTGTTTTTCTTAATGTCACAGAGGATCTCTATGTTTTTAAATTGAATGCCATTCATCTTGCTTGACTAGTTGGCAACTGGTTATGCAGTTTATCATTTTCTCTTTGAAATACTTTCCTCTCTTTGCTTTCAGTACACCACACTCTTCTGTTTTTCTTCCTACCTCACTGGCTACTGCTTCTTTGTTCCTCTATTTACTGGCTCCTCCTTTTATTCCCAGTTAACTTTAGAGTGTCCTAGCCCAGTCTTTAGATCTCTTCATTTACACTTAGTTCCATGGTGATGTTATCCAGTTGCATGGTTTTATCTATATCTATATCTATATCTATATCTATATCTATGTCTGTCTGTCATCTGCAACCAGGACCCTCCCTGAGGACTATCAGGCTTCTGTGTTGAAGATAGACTGTTGGGGATATGGTGTCAGGATAAAATGGGGGACGTTATGATGCTACTGCAGTAATGGTAGCAGTAGAGAGAGTGAGAAGTGGTCATATTCTGGATGGATTTTTGAAGTAAAGACAACAGGATTTACTGATGGAACGGATGTGGACTGTTAGGAAAAAAAATTCAAGAATGACACTATTGTTTTTGCCCTGAATTACTGGAAAGATGGAATTGCCTTTAACTGATGTGAGAAATACCATGATTGGAGCAGATTTGGTATGTGTAAATGGATGATGGTGGTGGGTGGGCAGGGAATCGAGAGTTCATTTTTGTATAGGTTGAGATGAATATTTGATATCCAAATATATATGTTGATTAGGCAATTTGAACCTATGAGACTATCTACCTCATGAGATGACAAGCTCCCCTGGGGCAAGGCTTGTGTCTTGTTTGTTATGTTTGGCATAGTACTTGGCACATAGTAAGTATTCCAATATTTTAATTATTGAATGTAAGATGTTTTTCAAAGTAATTTTTATTGTGACCCTTCTGGGATTCTCCTGACCAGCTAATTACTTCCTCCTGTGGCACAACCTCACACCTTATAGCACTCATCACAAAGATGTAACGCTTTCTCTGCCTCCTCAGCGCAGACTTTGGATTCAACTAATATAAGGTATTACTATGCATTAGCTACTTTCTTAGGCCCTGGGGTTATGAGGCATATTTTAACCATTCAGGCAAGTTAAGGATGAGAAACTGAACTACAAGGAGAGTCAGTAAAAATAGAGGAAAGGGGGCTAACTTGAGAGTCATCAAGATTAGAACCCAGTGACTGTCTTGATGTATGAACTGAGAAAAAAAGTGAATGTATAGTGATAACGTTCCCTGACTTTGGAAATCAGGTTGGTGAGGTGGAGGTTTTGAATTAATTTGCATTGTCTCTGTAACAAGATAGAGTTTTGTGTCAGTTGTTGAATATACAGTTTGGAGCTCAGTGGAAAGACTGGGTCAGAAATGTGGCTTTGAGAATCATCAGTACATTAACAGTAATTGAGGTTTGGGGTATGTATGTACAATTATCCCATTTTGCCAGATCTAGAAACTGGGGCTCAGAAATGTTAAGTAACTTGTCAAATCTCTGAGCTAGAATTCTAAACTTCATTTTTCCCCACATTCCATTCTTGTGACTTTGACTTTAAAATCTGCATTCTCCCCACAGGGTCAGGCATTTGTCCTAAAAGTTACAAAAACACTTGCTCAAGAATTTTGTAATATTTTCTTTGTGCTGTTTTATTGCCCTTTGTTCATGTTTATCATTTTGCCTTAAAATCATTCTTTGGTCACTTCAGCCAGAAATTTCCAGAGGGAAGGGGGTGACCCAAATCTTTTACTCATATTTAACCTATTGAGTGGAGCAAGCACAACCTTGAGCTATGCTGTTCTGCCATGGCTCCTTAAGAGGTCAGGCGTTCCAGGGAGACTAGTGCCTGCCTTAACCCAAGTAACTGGAGAAGGAAGGACAAGGTCCCCTTAGGTCTCCTTAGAGGTTCGAAGGAATATGAGTATGATGGCCATTATTAAGAGGCTTGATGTGTGGCTAGGATTACCAAAGCTGCCTTTGGTGGTGGATCACTCACCCAGTGATGGTGCTGGGATTGGGGTGGGAGGCTCGACCGAAAAGGTAGCAGGAAAGAACTCTAGGAACATCTTGGTATGGCAAGCTACACTGAGAGACCTCCCAAAGCAGGTCTGTAGGAGGGACTTTGTTTAATCTGTGTGTGAGGGAGAATGTGAATAGGATATCACTGAGAGGGGCTTACATTTCTTAGCAGCTCCTTGTAGATCTCAGCTTGCCACTCAGCCTCCCTCTTGGACTTCATTTCATTCCAAAGGTTTCAGAGAATTCCACATAGTATTTCAATTAATAATAACTATGTATTTCCCTGAATAGCAAAATATTGGACATTCCCAGAGAGAGGCAAAAGGGCCAGAGTCCCACCACCTCAGTTATGAGCAGCTGATCTCATTGTTAGACTCATGTGTGGCATTAAATTGTAGATTTGTGGTCACTTTCTGTGTTAATAGGACACTTTCCAAAAGCCTTGTCTTCTTTTGACAGCCAAGGTGATTGGCTTCAGTGTTTTCAGAAATGCAGTGGGACACAATGAAGAGATGTAGAAGGGTGACAGGAACCAAGGGCTGGAGCTGCCAGGCTTCTGTGGTGCCGTCCTTGGCAGGAAAAAGTGTAGGAGTCATCCCCTGAGGAAAAGGCACCAGGTAGATCCTGGGAGGGGATTCAGCTGACTGGGTGCCCACCATTAGTTACTGTGAAGATAAATTTAAGGAGTAAGGATCATGGCAAGGAGAGTGGTGGAGAAGGGCTCCAGGCACAGGTGGTATAGAAACAGTAGGCCTGGGTACAAGCTGCTGGCAGTAACTTGACAGGCTCACATATGTTTAGAAAACCTCTTATATTTGTGGTTCTTTCCCAGAAACTTCAGTGCTCAACACCCTGCCCTTCATCACACTAAGGGCAAGCAGAACTAAGCTCAGTGATCCCTCCCAAAGCACTTGGGCCTTGGGTTTGCCTCCTGGCTCTAGGCTCATTTTAGCACCAAGCAAACTGTCTTTTCTCTATTCTCATGTCCTGGTCAGGCATGAGAATCAACTTTTGTCACAGGTACTCTGACCTCCAACTACGTGACCCTGCTCCCTACCAATCCCTGGGCCTGTGGGACAGGCCCTTCTCCATTTTCTACTGTCATCTCATTCCAGGAGGCTTTCATTTCATGCAACTGAGAGGCAGTGGAGGCAGTAAACAGGCAGCAGGATTACAGCAGGCTCCAAGATGGATTTTCTAGAAAGATCTTCCCAGTATAAACAGGGAGAAGTCAGAGGAGAGTCTATCATCTGGATCTGACATCTGTCTTATTAGATATTGTGTTTTGATAAACACAAAAGCACCTCCTCAAGGAGGGAATACTGTGGCACTCCTCTAAAATGAACCATCTGAATTGTGGGTTAAAGCTCCTTCCCTAGACAGGAAGGTCTTTTTAGCCTCCCTCACACCTTCCCTTAACACAATACAGTGGAGATAAGGAGCAGATGGGCAACGTATTGCTGAAACATATAGAGTGCATTTCTAGTGGCACCCTGCCCCACCAGCATATTTATGGAAATGAAAATACTGGTCCTCTGGAGGGCTGCAGCAGTTGGGGAGCCTATAAACTCTTTTTCATGGCTCTGTGTGTTCTCCTTGAGCAGACCAATGTTTCTATCTGAACTGAGGGTTAGGAGCTAGGGTGGGTGCCCTGGTTGGGGGGCACAAGCCACTCAAGGACAGTGACGAGGACAGTGGTGGGGGTGGCCTGGGGTTGAGGCAGAGCCAGGTTGTCTGGAGTGTAACCGAAGCTTATTGTCTAGGGACTGGGGACCATCCAAGAAAGCTGGGCCCATCAGCTTCTGAGCACGATGAGATTGGGCCTTGGAGCACCCTGTCGGCTTCTCTGTCTTACTTCTCCCCACAGGGCTCTTGGCTGGAGCCAGGCTCTTTGCAACATTTTCTTTTCTGGTTTTGGCCACCTTCACAGTGGCAGAGAACATGGAATCCTTGTGCCCTTTGCCTTTTGTCTTGGGGTTAATACACTCCAGAAAACATTTAATTTTATTTCTGAAGCTAGACTCTGTAAGGCTGGGCTTCTTTTGAGTATGGGCTGGCATCACCAGCCCATGTAAAACTTGGCATTGCAAAGTTTGGCCCTGCAAAGGCTTAGCCTGAGTTGGTTGGCTCAGGAAAGGCTGACCCTGTGAAGCTGGGGCACCACAGTCTGGGTATTCTCAGGAATTGTTGCTGGTTCAAGGATGACAGTTAGCTTGGTTTGACTGTCTTGCAGGTCCTTCTCAGACTCTTTCTCCCCAGGGACTCGTGGAGGTAGCTGTGGGAGCTTAAACTGAGGGTGATGCTGGGGGCTGTGTTGACAGGGATCAGCAAGATGAAAGCTACGGCTCCATCGCCAGGACCCTCGGGGTGTCTTGTTTGGAAGCATCCCTGCTGGCCTCTGGTCTTCAGCAGGGCGTCTCTCTTCTCTGGTTGAGGAGCGCCCAAACCCCGCATCCCCTTCTCTGTAGTCCCTGGCTGCTTTGGTTTCCTCTGGGTCCTCTCTGTTTCCTGCTAGCATGGGGACATGGGCTGGGTCCTTGCTCTTGCTAGGGCTTTGAGGCTCAGGGCCACAGGGTTCCTCCAGGCTGGGGTTGTTCACACTGGCCTCTACCTGAACACAAGGCATGTGGGCCTCTGTCATGTCCCCACTGGGTTGTGAGATCTTGGAGACCGAGTGGGCAGAACCCTGGGGTACTGCTTTGGAATTGGATTGCTTTTGGTTCTGCTGCACTGCCTTCAAGTCATTGGCCAGCTGTTCTTTAAGGTGAACCCCTTCTGGATTAGGGGCAGGAAGAGTGTCTGGTGGGATGGGCAGTTCCTGGAGCAATGTCTCCCCTTGGTGGTTTAGACTTTCAAGAGACTTCTGTGTGGATATGTTCTCTGGTGCTGCAGCAGTTTGTTCCCTGGACTTCCTTGCCCTAATGGGAATTCCCCATTGTATCTCTAGGACCTTTTTTCTCAGGTGGAAGTTTAGTTTGGTCAAGATATGTGTCTGGAGTGAGTGGGGGCTAGTAGGATGCGTCTGGCTTTCTAGAGGCAGCGTCTCCATTGTTCCTTTTACTGGCACTGCAGGCTGGAACTCTTTTGCAACGTCTGTACAACTCTCATTGTTGCCTTGAGGGCATGGCCCAAGACTTATACACTGTTCTTCAAATGAAACCATCTAAATCAGAGGCTCTGCTGGGATTTCCACGGGACTAGGCTCCATCTCTGTGATGACAGATTGGCTAGTGACTGCCGGGGCCAGGGCCCTGGGGAGCGCCACATAATACAGAGCAGGCAGCCCCGACAGGAAGGCCAGATGCTTGTGCCGTAAAGTTGTCTCCAGTTTCTCAATGGCTTCCACAGACAAGACTCGGAGCAGCTTAGGGTGTTCAGTGACAGTACCTGGTAAGGCCTGTTGCTGCTGATCAAGGGCCGTTGGCATCCAGGGCATAACTTTGTGATGTAGGTCTGGGTCACTTGCTGTCTGCAGTACCAGGAACTGGCTTTCTGGAATGCAGGGAAAAGGAGCCACTGCCAGGACCCCAGAAATTCTGCAGTCCCAGGACCTGTGTACACAGGCGGGGATCTTGCCCTGGTGGATTTGTCCACATTTGGAGTCGATGTGGCTCTGCAGTATTGCCTTGACCTGAGTTAACAAGTGTGGCCTGGGGATGGACACTGGGGCCGCAATGGGTGACAGCACATCGCAAGCCCCGTTGGCCTCTAGGGCTACAGGCTGGGGGATGCTCACGTTGGCTAGGGCTGTGCTGCTGCTGGACACAGTCTGCTGGTCAGTGGAGGTAAGGAGCAACTGGATGGACTGCTGGATCTTCTGAGGCAGGCCCCAGCGATGGCGAATCGACTGTTTCTGGATGTGGAATTCCAGCAGCTTCCGGGCATGCTCCGGGAAGAAGAGTAGTTCCCTGGTGAGCACTGAGATGGACTTCCCTGTCTGGGAAGCTGTCGTGGTCTCAGGAGACTGAGCTTTGCCACAGGGCTCATGCTGCATGAGGCACTGGGTGTGCTGAGACCTCTGGAGGGCAGCTGGCCAGCCCCACTGAAGCTGGAGTTGCCTCTGTAGCAGGTGCCACTCCAAGGCTTCATACTCAGCCAGAGTCAGAAATGGGACATTGATCTGAGCTCGTTGATGGTCAGATGGAGACACCCAATTTGGCGAAAGTGGGGAAGAGGGTGGGGCTGACTGGGGTGAAGTTTTAGGGAGCAGTTGGGGGAAGGAGAGATCATTGAAGAGAAAAGGATCCTTCAAGGGGGGCTTGGGCACATTTTCAATCTTGGGAAGGCCTTGAGATCCCATGAAAGTGGCAACCAGGGACTCACTGTGCAGAGAAGGGAGCCCACAGAATAGCTGGCTGTATTTCTGCTGGAGATCACTCCCTGAGTCATTATCTTGTCCCCCAGACTGTGGATGGGGGCCACTTAGGGCTTTAAGGGCTGGAGAGGGCAAGGCTAGAGCCATAGGGTTTGGAGTTTGCTGACAGTGGTGTCTTTGTTCTGGGTTCATTGTGGACCATTCAGAAACCCAGAAGGTCTGGATGGGCTGGCCAGCCACACATGAACACCAGGTCTGGAGGGAAATGGTCTCAGATCTGTGAAGAGAGACCTGAGAAGTATTATTCAGGTTGAAAGAAACTGGCTGGTCATTTCCAGGTTGGTAATACAATGGTGGGTTTGGCATAAGCTGCCTCAGGGACTCCTCCACACGTCTTGGGAGCCCCCACCTCTGGAAATGCATCCATTTTTTAACATGTACCTCAAGAAGCCTCAGCACTTCAGGACTGAGAAATGGCAGGTGGGCAGGGAGGACCATATGCAAGGCCATCGGATGCATCCGGTTCAGGGTTTCTGGGTTCAGGGACAGCAAGGAGACCTGGAAATTCAAGTGATGCTGGCCTTGGTTTCCCTGGACAAGGCTGGGGTTGCTCTGCTCATCTCCTCCTGGTTCAGTGGAGCCCTTGGCTTGTCAAGCCTTGAAGAAGCTATGGTGTTTGGGCCCCGGAGCACAGCTGGCACTTGAAATTCCGGCCCTAGCTGGAGGTGATCAGCCCAGTAATCTTGTATGCCATCTGCATACGTTGACTGGGCAGCTGACTGGGTTAAAGATTTCTGATCTGTTAATTGTGACAGTGTTGGGTTTATAGATGCCAGTGAAAGCTCTCTGATATTTCTGGAATGGAGCTCTATACTCTGCTCAAAGGATACACTAGACAGAGACAAGATCTCTAGGCAAGAGGAGACCTGTGATGGACTCCTCGACAAAGTTGGGGAGATCTAGTCATTCTCATCCGCCAGCAACTGCTGAATCTCCAGAGCCATAGCATTGCAAATTTGGCAACAGGGATCTGTACATAGGATTCGCCGCACACTTCCCTCTGGGGGAAGCCAGCCCTGGCTGGAAAGAGAAACATGGCAAACATTAATGATGGAGTAGCATCTACCTTCTTGGAAGAGTGTGGGCTAGCGTTGGCATTGCCCTTCCCTAGTCCTGCAAGTCTAGAAGCCTACACCCCCTTCATGTCTACTCCTCTACTTTTCTTCTTAAGAAAATGGCATTTGGTAAGGTATGGTGGGCTGGGGGTTAGGACTTGTTGGACAAGGCCTCAGACAACCCACAGAAGGGCATGGCCCTCAGAGAAGACTGGGAGCTGAGTTCTGTGTTGGCCTTGTTGAGAAGCTGAACTAGGAGAAAGGAACCAAGCATGTGGAAGAGTCAGTTGGTTAGCTGATGGGGCATAACCAGGAATATCACAAGGTAGAACTGTCTTGCAGTCTCATTTGAGGCTAAGAAACCCGAAGTCTAGTTTTCAGTACATCCAAACTGTGGAAAATGAGGTTTATGTGGTACTTATGCATTCTGGGGGCTATGAGATATCCCTGATGATGTACCCAACATCTCCTGGGAATCAATCTTTTTCTCTAGAAATCTTAAGAGGATAAGATGATAGGCTCCTGTCTTAGGGCTGTGCCAGGAACTGGACTCCTTGAATACAGAACTAAAGGAAGTATTATCAGCAGGGTTCATCTTGGTCAGCTCAGTCTGCCCATGTAAGGATGTAGCTGTAAAGAGAATGTGACATGGGTGACTTTCTCATGCAAAATCCATTCTCTTGACTGGATAACATATCTCAGAGCTGAGTAGAACCCCATATAATGTCTTTTATGAATAATGTACTAGTAAAATCCTGAATTTCAGAACTACTGTGACCCTGCCCCAAATCAGTATTGGGTGACTCTTTCCTCCTGAGATAATTATGCCTTTGCAACCCTCTCAACTAGTGAACCAGCCTCCACTGTGTATGTCTCCCTCCCAGCCATTTTCCATCTCCTCAGTCCTGCCCCAGGCTAAATGAAAAAATCACCACAGGCCAGGCTGGTGTTTAGAGACTGCAAACAGCAATAGATCACCTTTTCATGACAGAGAACAGCTCTTGTGGCTTCTGATCTTCTTCCTGAGAAAGTCTCCTAGCTGAGGAACCAGAAGACAGTGTTATAGTAGACAGTGGCATGGTAGAGTTTTCAGAGTATCTGGAGGAGGTTGGAGGCCTTTGACTCTCAGCAAGAAGACACTGAGAACCCTAATTATAAATGCTTTAAGGCCTTTCTGTGCACAGTGTAATGAATCATGACTTGTTCTTCTGTGCCCATTCTTATTTGACTTTAACAACCATACTGTGAGTGAGAGGATCATCAGATGCCCATGTTATGGCAAACAAGACTGAGAGATGAAGTGACTTCCACAGGTTTTAAAACTAGCAAATGACACAGCTAAGGACATCTGCACTATTTCCTCAATTCTTTATTCCCATGGGAATAATGTAGAGAATTTTGGAACGTTTCCAAGGTAAGATTTCCCACCCATGGAAGTTTCAGTCTGGGGAACTGGAGTCTTCAGTGGCAGAGCACCTGGCTCTTGGCTCCAGGGGTCATAGAGGGACAGGATTCATAGGAAACACCCACAGTGGAAGGGAGTCAGAGGAGAGATTGGGACTTCACCTGTTGATGCTGCATCTCTAGCTCTTTGCCTGACTTTTTGGTGACGCTTAAAAGACAAAAACATTAGAATGTGAAGCTGGGACACCATTTTCTTTCTCATGTCCAAAATGAGACTTACATTTATTTTCCACTCCCTTTCTATATATCTATCTGTATTTTATACGCTTTCCTGGATTTTCTTTGCCTATTCCACCTTTTTACTCCATTTTCCTTCTCTGCTTATTTCGGATTCACTTGGAGCCTTTTCCAAATTCTATACCTTCCATCTGATTCCCAGATAAGTCCTGCTGGATGCTGAGGATGAAGCAAGAGAAAGGATAGTACAGATCAAAGAGTATGTGGTTCTAATACCTAAAGACTTCAGTTTATAAACACCTTAAAGGGCCACCAACCAAAAAAATCCCCCATATTGTGAGGTCTTTTGAGATCCAGTGAGATAGATCCCATATCATCTAGGTCTCTATTCAAGTCAAATGGAAAGCTTCTTGGCTTTTCAATTAGAGTATGGTTCAGGGAAGACCTGGTAAGGAATTACTTTTAGGCTCTGAGAAGGAAAAGACTATATAAAAGTAACTAAAGGTATGGCATAAAAATTGGGGGAGAGGGGAAGTGGGGTCAATAAGGAAGGACTCTGGAGCTTAAAAGCATATTATCTGAGGCTTAATTAGTTCAGTTGGAATCATAGTGTTGCCCTACCCAGCAGCAGCTCCTTTCAACTTCCAAGTTCAATTCATGGTGGCTCCTTTTCACTTGCCAGATAATTACAATAACGATGAAGATGGAGCCATAGGTGTATAAGGGATATCCAACATCCCACAGAACAAAAGTAGGGCTCAACATGGTCTAAACCTCATTAGCATGAGATCAGCCATCCCTCTATCTCGGCATTCAGGGTTCTGGTGCCTAATGACTCCCAGTGCTAGGCCTTGTCATATCCACCTCACAGAGGACGGAACTAGGCCACCAGACTGCATCACAAAGCCCTCCTGTTTCATAAGGTACATGTAGTAGGGAAGCTCATGTGGTGATTCAGTCTGTAGATGAGGGTGTTTTGAGCCTGGGACTGAAGGTGCCACAAGCAGTGTCTATTTCCTAGTCTGTCTTCACTTTCCACTCCCTATACCAGCCTGATGTCTCGGCTCTGTCCTTCACAACTGTATGGTCACCTGTCCTCAGAAAACTGAGTGCTTTGGCACAGGGGCACCTTATGAGAAGGGGTGGTTAGGCCGGAGGAACCTCCACTAACTCTCCCACTAGTTTTGGAAATATACCTGAGAAGCACACAAGAATTTAGGGAGGGCAGAGTCTGGTTATGGCTTGGAGATGGAGATCTTTGATGTTTCAGGCAATGGGTGATTGGTAACAGAGGTGCGGGAAGGGGATTATGGCTGATGTGGTAGGGTGATAGGGAGAGGCCAAGGTGGCCGTATCTATCCAGTCTGTGTGGCCTCAAGCTTGCAGATGGGTGGGGAGAGATTGTAAATGCTGCAATCTTTTTGAGGCACATTAATGTGGCTCACTTCTGGAATACTGTCCAAATCATGGTTTTCTAGAGCTGCCTCTGTCCTTCTTATAGCATTCTGCCTGTTCAGGGAGATGAATGCCTGTAGAGATGGATTAGTAGCCATTTCTGGCTTTGGGTCGCAAACTGGTTGCTGCTTGTGGTTGGATCTATTCATCTCTGGATGTATTCTGTTTGCCTGTAGGATTTTTATTTGTTTGCTTGAGTCGGATTCTGGAAACTTTTAAAGCAGAGCAGCTGTTTTCCACTTTTGCCTCAGGACTCATCACTCCTATACTCTGCCGATTAATTTATACATTTATGTTACCTGCTTAACCTCCATGAATATTGCAATACTTCCCTAACAGCCAATGATTTCTGAATATTCTTAGAAGGTGTTGCCCTGGTGAGAATGGTTATAGCCAAAAGCGGAGAAAAAAATTCTTGGGCTCGAAATCTTTGAACATTCATCCAGCATCCCATCCTTTACCTCACTGGCATGGTAAGTATATTCAGTATGCTCATCCCTAAGCTGGGTGATGTCAAGGGTACAAGGACTTTGAGTCATGTTGGCTTCCTCCTCTCAAGACACTTAAAAATCTAGTTTCGAAGACAAGACAAATTTACGTGAATCAAGAGCCAATGGCTTATTTCAAATAATTTGATGTATTACTGAGGTTCAGGTCTCAACTTTTCAAGAGAGAGAATGCATGGAGGGGATCAGTTTGGTCAGAGAGGGTTCCTGGGGAGATTAATTTTGGAGTTTTGTCTAAAAGTGCAGGTTATAGGGAAAAGGACTGTTCCAGGTGGCAGAGAAAATTCCTAACAAACGCAGAACCCCAAGGAATGTGCCACAGAGTTCATTTGATACTAAAAAATGCAGTCTATCTTTAGCAGAGGTGCAGATGAATGGATTGGAGAGCAATTGTGGGAAAGATTGGAGGAGCAGGGGTGAGGCCCTCCTTGATGGAGGGCCTTTGCATTTATTTTATTTTAATCACTTAGATTAATTGATTTTTTAAAGTAAGCATACATATAAATGGTATAAACTTCAAAAGGTAGAAGAAGATATAACATACTGTCTCCTCATCCTTGTCTCTCATCTCTCATTTTTATTCCCTCAGTCAATCACTTCTATCAGGTTCTTGTGTATCTTTCCAGACTAGTCTAGCATAAATTTAAAAAATGAATTTCAATGTTTTATTCACAAAGGGAAAGATAGTATAGATAGTATAGATACTTTTCTCTCTAATTTCCCTCCTTCTCCTCCTCCTCCTTCTTCTTCTCCTTCTCCTCCTCCTTGTTCTTCTTCTTCTCCTCCTCCTCCTTCTTCTTCCCCTCCCTCCCTTCCTTCCTTCCTCCTCCTCTTCCTCCTCTTCTCCTTCCTTCTTCTTCTTCTTCTTCTGACAAGGTCACCCAGGCTGGAGTGCAGTGACACAATCATAGCTCACTGCAGCCTCTAACTCCTGGGTTCAAGGGTTCCTCTTGCCTCAGCCTCCCAAGTCCCACCTGAGCCCCCCCAGATGCTAGGATTACAGTCTTATTTCATTTAATAAAATAAATATATCTTGAGCATATCATTTTCTTTAATGTCTTTAATATTTTCCTTGATATGGCTGAAACACAGTTCATCTTCCATGCCATATTCTTGAATAGTTCGTATAATTTTGCTCTAAAAATGCTGATGCAAACCTTATATAATATAAATCTTTGCATAAATATATAAGTATATATGTAGGAAAAATTCCTTCTAGTGAAATTGCTGGGTCAAAGGGTGTGTGCATTTTCAATGTTTATATTGCCTAATTGCCCTCCAATTGTAGAAATTCACACTTCTTTTTTTTATTTTATTTTTTATTTTTTGAGACAGAGTCTCGCTCTGTCCCCCAGGCTGGAGTGCAGTGGCGCGATCTCGGCTCACTGCAAGCTCCGCCTCCCGGGTTCATGCCATTCTCCTGCCTCAGCCTCCTGAGTAGCTGGGACTACAGGCGCCCGCCACCACACCCGGCTAATTTTTTGTATTTTTAGTAGAGACGGGATTTCACCGTGTTAGCCAGGATGGTCTCGATCTCCTGACCTTGTGATCCTCCCGTCTCGGCCTCCCAAAGTGCTGGGATTGCAGGCGTGAGCCACCGCGCCCAGCCAGAAATTCACACTTCTAAAAAATGTTTTAAGAGTGCCTCTTTTCCATATTGAATACGTCAGTTGTTTCCACCTTTTTGCTGTCGTGAATAATGTTCAAGTGAATGTTGGTTTACAAGTATCTGTTCAAATCCTTGTTTTCAGTCCTTTTGAGTATATACCACAGTTTCATTTTTGTTGCTTAAATTTTTCATTTGTCTAGAGTTTAGTAATTAAAAACACTTTTCTGAGGTATGATTAATGTACAATAAGCTACACATATTTAAAGTGAACAATTTAGGCTGGGCACAGTGGCTCACACCTATAATCCCAGCACTTTGGGAGGCCGAGGCAGGCAGATTACCTGAAGTCAGGGGTTTAAGACTAGCCTGTCAAACATGGTGAAACCCTGTCTCTACTAAAAATACAAAAATTAGCCAGGAGTGGTGGCAGCCGCCTGTAATCCCAGCTACTCCAGAGGCTGAGGCAGGAAAATCGCTTGAACCAGTTGGCGGAGGTTGCAGTGAGCCGAGATTGCACCACTGCTCTCCAACCTGGGCAACAAGAGTGAGACTCCGTCTCAAAAAACAAACAAAGAGTGAACAATTTGATAAATTTTCACATTTGTATATACTTGTGAAACCATTATCACAGTCAAGATTAACACATCCTCAAAACTTTATTTATACCGCTTTGTAATTGTTTTTCCCTACCCCTTTCATTTCCTCTCTCTTCCAAACCATTGATCTATTTTCCATCACTGTAGTTTAGTTTGCATTTTTCTAGAGTTTTATATAAACGTAATCATGCAGTATGTATACATTTATGTCTGGCTTCTTGCACTCAGCCCAATTATTTGAATATATTCATGTTGTTTTGTATATTATTAGTTCATTCCTTTTTATTGCAGAGTAGATTCCATTGTATGCATATATAACAATTTGTTTAACCATTCGGTAGTTGATAGACATTTGAGTTATTACCAGTTTGGGGCTACTAGAAATAATGCTGCTATGAACATTCATGTACCAGTCTTTATAAGGACATGTATTCCCATTTTTCTTGGGTAAATACCCAGGAGTAGAATGACTGAATCATATGATAGTTGTATGCTAGGGTTTGAATGTGTGTGTCCCTCCAAATTTCATAGATTGAAACCTAATTACCAAGGTGATGGTATTAGAAGTTGGAGCTTTTGGGGAGGTGATTAGGGCATAAAACCTCTGCCCTCATGAATGGGATTAATGACTTTATAAATAAGATGTGAAGGAGCTGTTTGCCCCTCCCACCATATGAAGACACAGCATTTGTCCCCTCTGGAGGATGCAGCAACCAGGTTCCATCTTGGAAGCAGAGACTGGGCCCTCATCAGACACAGGACCTGCCAGCACCTCGATCTTGTACATCCAGCCTCAAGAACTGTGAGAGATAAATTTCTGTTCTTTATAAGTTGCCCAATCTGTGGTATTTGTTATAGCAGCATGAATGATTAAAACTGTGTGTGTTTAATTTTTTTTAATTTCCAAACTGTTTTCCAAGATGGTTGTACTATTTCCATTCCTGCCAGCAGTGTATGAGAGTTTGTTTTCCTGTATCTTTGTCAACCCTTGGTACAATCCTTTTTAATTTTAGCCATTCTAATATATGTGTAATGGTATCACTTTGGGGTTTTAATCCGTGTTTCTCTAATTAATAATGATGTTGAGCATTTTTTCATGCACTCTGTGTCATCCATTTTTATGGTGAAGCTTTGTACAAACATTTTTCCTATTGTGTTAATTTTTAGAAACCAATTGAAAAGCAATTACCAAAAAGTGGTAAAGGACACATTACTTGTCTAGAAATCCATAAATGTTGGATTGTTTTCATCCTTATTAGTAAACTGATTCCAAAAGAATGAGACTAATTTTCTGATGGCTTTTAGGAGTCTGGCACCACATTATGAGCTCTAAAATATTAATGTAAAAATATTAGATTGCCAAACAACTTTGAACCTTATGGTTTGTTGCATGAAAACATTATTAATGTGGCTTATAAAATACTACTGTATGAACAATGCAAATCTTTTGGAAAGTGTGTATCTCACAAAAATAAAAATTGTAACAAGTTAAAAAAATATCAAGTGACCATATATGTATAGGCCTAGTTCTGAATGCTATTCTGTTCCATTGATCTATTTGTCTTTGTTAATGTCAGTGACATTATCTTGATTACTGTAGTTTTATACTAAGTCTTGAAGTCAGGTGGAATAAGTAATCTTTTTCAGAGCTATTTTGGCTATTATAGGTCATTAATTTTAGAATACGTTTTTCAATTTCTGTAGTGGGATTTTAATTGGGATTGGGTTGAATGTTGTTTTATTTGTCTATTGCTGCATAACAAATTACCACAAAATTTAGTGATTCAAAATAACATACATTTATTATTTCACCATGCTTGGCTAATTTTTTTTATTTAATTTTTTAATTTTTATTTTTTTAGAGACAGTATCTCACTACATTGCCCAGGCTGGTCTTTAACTCTTGGCCTCAAACAATCCTCCTGCCTCAGCCTCTGAAAATGTTGGGATTACAGGTGTGAACCACCATGTCAGACCAGTATCCGTTCTTAAATATTTGGTAGAATTCAGTAGTGAAGCTATCAGGTCCTGTACTTTTCTTTTTGTTGGGAGACTTTTTATTACTGTTTCAATCTCCATATTTATTGTTGATCTGTTCAGATTTTCTATTTCTTCATGATTCCTTCTTGGTAGATTGTATGTTCTAGGACTTTATCCATTTCTTCTAGGTTATTTAATTTGTTTGTGAATAATTGTTCCTGGTAGGCTCTTATGATCATTTGTATTTCTGTGGTATCAATTGTAATGTTTCCGCTTTCATTCTGAGTTTATTTATTTGAGTCTTCTCTCTTTTTTTCTTAATGTAACTAAAGATTTGTCAATTTTGTTTCTTTTCAAATAACCAACTCTTCCTTTTGTTCATATTTTTTGTTGTTTTTCTAGTGTCTATTTTATTTATTTAACCTCTAATCTTTATTATTTCTTTCCTTTCACTAACTTTGGGCTTAGTTTGTTCTTCTTTTTCTAGTTCCTTGAGGTGTAACATTAGGTTGCTTGAGATCTTTCTTCTTTTTTGATGTAGGCATTTATTGCTATAAACTTCCCTCTCAGAATTGTTTTTCCTGCATTTCATAAGTTTTGATATTGTGTTTCCTCTTTCATTTGCCTCAAGATATTTTCTAATTTCCCTTGTGATTTATTTGATCCATTGGTTATTCAGGAGCATGTTGTTTAATTTCCAGGTATTTGTGAATTTTTCCCAAATTCTTCCTGTTAACAAGTTCTAGTTTTATACCATTGAGGTTGGAAAAGATACTTGACATTATTTCAGTCTTCTTAAATTTGTTATTTCACTCTTCTTAAATGTGTTATTTCACTCTTCTTAAATTTGTTATTTGTGGCCTAACATATTATCTATATTGAATAATGTTCCACGTGTGCTTGAGAGAAATGTGCGTTCAGCTGCTGTTGAATGAAATGTTCTGTAAATGTCTGTTAGGTCCATTTGGTCCAAAGCATAGTTTAAGTCCAATGTTTCCTTATTGATTTTCTGTCTGGATGATCTTCCCAACTGCTGAAAGTGGGGTATGAAGTCCCCTACTGTTATTTTACTAGTCTTATTTTTCCCTTTAGACCTATTGATATTTGCTTTATATATTTAGGTGCTCCAATATTGGGTGCATATATGCTATATTTACAATGATTATATCCTCTTGATGAATTGACCTCTCCATCATTATATAATGACCTTCTTTGTCTTATTTTACAGTTCTTGACTTAAAGTCTATTTTATCTGAGTATAGCTACCCTTCCTCTCTTTTTGTTCTCATTTGTATGAAATCTCTTTTTCCATCCTTTCACTTTCAATTTCTATGTATCTGTAAAGGAAAAGTGATTCTCTTGCAGGCAGCATACAGTTGGGTCTTGTTTTTTTACTCCACTCTGCCACTTTATGTCTTTTCATTGGAGAATTTAATCCATTTACATTCAAGGTAATTATTGATAGGTAAGGACTTACTACTACCATTTTGCTAATTGTTTACTAGTTGTTTTATAGACCCTTTATTCCTTTTTCCCTCTCTTGTTGTCGTCTGTTGAGGTTAGATGATTTTCTCTAGTGGTATGCTTTAATTCTTACTCTTTATCTTTTGTGTATCTAGTCTAGTTTTTTTGCTTTGTGGTTAACATGAGGCTTACAAGAATATGTTATGATTACAACAGGTTACTTTAGCTGATAACAAGTTAACTTTTTTTTAAATTTTATTTTATTTTCTTATTATTATACTTTAAGTTTTAGGGTACATGTGCACAATGTGCAGGTTAGTTACATATGTATACATGTGCCATGCTGGTGTGCTGCACCCATTAACTCCTCATTTAGCATTAGGTATATCTCCTAAAGCGATCCCTCCCCCCTCCCCCCACCCCACAACAGTCCCCAGAGTGTGATGTTCCCCTTCCTGTGTCCATGTGTTCTCATTGTTCAGTTCCCACCTATGAGTGAGAATATGCGGTGTTTGGTTTTTTGTTCTTGCGATAGTTTACTGAGAATGATGATTTCCAGTTTCATCCATGTCCCTGCAAAGGACATGAACTCATCGTTTTTTATGGGTGCATAGTATTCCATGGTGTATATGTGCCACATTTTCTTAATCCAGTCTATCATTGTTGGACATATGGGTTGGTTCCAAGTCTTTGCTATTGTGAATAGTGCTGCAATAAACATACGTGTGCATGTGTCTTTATAGCAGCATGATTTATAGTCATTTGGGTATATACCCAGTAATGGGATGGCTGGGTCAAATGGTATTTCCAGTTCTAGATCCCTGAGGAATCGCCACACTGACTTCCACAATGGTTGAACTAGTTTACAATCCCACAAACAGTGTAAAAGTGTTCCTATTTCTCCACATCCTCTCCAGCACCTGTTTTTCCCGACTTTTTAATGATTGCCATTCTAACTGGTGTGAGATGGTATCTCATTGTGGTTTTGATTTGCATTTCTCTGATGGCCAGTGATGGTGAGCATTTTTTCATGTGTTTTTTGGCTGCATAAATGTCTTCTTTTGAGAAGTGTCTGTTCATGTCCTTTGCCCACTTTTTGATGGGGTTGTTTGTTTTTTTCTTGTAAATTTGTTTGAGTTCATTGTAGATGCTGGATATTAGCCCTTTGTCAGATGAGTAGGTTGCAAAAATTTTCTCCCATTTTGTAGGTTGCCTGTTCACTCTGATGGTAGTTTCTTTTGCTGTGCAGAAGCTCTTTAGTTTAATTAGATCCCATTTGTCAATTTTGGCTTTTGTTGCCTTTGCTTTTGATGTTTTAGACATGAAGTCCTTGCCCATGCCTATGTCCTGAATGGTAATGCCCAGGTTTTCTTCTAGGGTTTTTATGGTTTTAGGTCTAACATGTAAATCTTTAATCCATCTTGAATTAATTTTTGTATAAGGTGTAAGGAAGGGATCCAGTTTCAGCTTTCTACATATGGCTAGCCAGTTTTCCCAGCACCACTTATTAAATAGGGAATCCTTTCCCCATTGCTTGTTTTTCTCAGGTTTGTCAAAGATCAGATAGTTGTAGATATGCGGCATTATTTCTGAGGGCTCTGTTCTGTTCCATTGATCTATATCTCTGTTTTGGTACTAGTACCATGCTGTTTTGCCTACTGTAGCCTTGTAGTATAGTTTGAAGTCAGGTAGCGTGATGCCTCCAGCTTTGTTCTTTTGGCTTAGGATTGACTTGGTGATGTGGGCTCTTTTTTGGTTCCATATGAACTTTAAAGTAGTTTTTTCCAGTTCTGTGAAGAAAGTCATTGGTAGCTTGATGGGGATGGCATTGAATCTATGAATTACCTTGGGCAGTATGGCCATTTTCATGATATTGATTCTTCCTACCCATGAACATGGAATGTTCTTCCATTTGTTTGTATCCTCTTTTATTTCGTTGAGCAGTGGTTTGTAGTTCTCCTTGAAGAGGTCCTTCACATCCCTTGTAAGTTGGATTCCTAGGTATTTTATTCTCTTTGAAGCAGTTGTGAACAGGAGTTCACTCATGATTTGGCTCTCTGTTTGTCTGTTATTGGTGTATAAGAATGCTTGTGATTTTTGTACATTGATTTTGTATCCTGAGACTTTGCTGAAGTTGCTTATCAGCTTAAGGAGATTTTGGGCTGAGACAATGGGGTTTTCTAGATATACAATCATGTCATCTGCAAACAGGGACAATTGGACTTCCTCTTTTCCTAATTGAATACCCTTTATTTCCTTCTCCTGCCTAATTGCCCTGGCCAGAACTTCCAACACTATGTTGAATAGGAGTGGTGAGAGAGGGCATCCCTGTCTTGTGCCAGTTTTCAAAGGGAATGCTTCCAGTTTTTGCCCATTCAGTGTGATATTGGCTGTGGGTTTGTCATAGATAGCTCTTATTATTTTGAGATAAGTCCCATCAATACCTAATTTATTGAGAGTTTTTAGCATGAAGCGTTGTTGAATTTTGTCAAAGACCTTTTCTGCATCTATTGAGATAATCATGTGGTTTTGTCTTTGGTTCTGTTTATATGCTGGATTACATTTATTGATTTGGGTATATTGAACCACTCTTGCATCCCAGTGATGAAGCCCACTTGATCATGGTGGATAAGCTTTTTGATGTGCTGCTGGATTCGGTTTGCCAGTATTTTATTGAGGATTTTTGCATCAATGTTCATCAAGGATATTGATCTAAAATTCTCTTTTTTGGTTGTGTCTCTGCCCGGCTTTGGTATCAGGATGATGCTGGCCTCATAAAATGAGTTAGGGAGGATTCCCTCTTTTTCTATTGATTGGAATAGTTTCAGAAGGAATGGTACCAGTTCCTCCTTGTACCTCTGGTAGAATTCGGCTGTGAATCCATCTGGTCCTGGACTCTTTTGGGTTGGTAAGCTGTTGATTATTGCCACAATTTCAGAGCCTGTTATTGGTCTATTCAGAGAGTCAACTTCTTCCTGGTTTAGTCTTGGGAGGGTGTATGTGTCGAGGAATTTATCCATTTCTTCTAGATTTTCTAGTTTATTTGTGTAGAGGTGTTTGTAGTGTTCTCTGATGGTAGTTTGTATTTCTGTGGGATTGGTGGTGATATCCCCTTTATCATTTTTTATTGCGTCTATTTGATTCTTCTCTCTTTTCTTCTTTATTAGTTTTGCTAGCGATCTATCAATTTTGTTGATCCGTTCAAAAAACCACCTCCTGGATTCATTAATTTTTTGAAGGGTTTTTTGTGTCTCTATTTCCTTCAGTTCTGCTCTGATTTTAGTTATTTCTTGCCTTCTGCTAGCTTTTGAATGTGTTTGCTCTTGCTTTTCTAGTTCTTGTAATTGTGATATTAGGGTGTCCATTTTGGATCTTTCCTGCTTTCTCTTATGGGCATTTAGTGCTATAAATTTCCCTCTACACACTGCTTTGAATGTGTCCCAGAGATTCTGGTATGTTATGTCTTTGTTCTCGTTGGTTTCAAAGAACATTTTTATTTCTGCCTTCATTTCATTATGTACCCAGTAGTCGTTCAGGAGCAGGTTGTTCAGTTTCCATGTAGTTGAGCGGTTTTGAGTGAGTTTCTTAATTGTGAGTTCTAGTTTGATTGCACTGTGGTCTGAGAGACAGTTTGTTATAATTTCTGTTCTTTTACATGTGCTGAGGAGAGCTTTACTTCCAACTATGTGGTCAATTTTGGAATAGGTGCAGTGTGATGCTGAAAAAATTGTATATTCTGTTGATTTGGTGTGGAGAATTCTGTAGATGTCTATTAGGTCCGCTTGGTGCAGAGCTGAGTTCAATTCCTGGGTATCCTTGTTAACTTTCTGTCTCGTTGATCTGTCTAATGTTGACAGTGGGGTGTTAAAGTCTCCCATTATTATTGTGTGGGAGTCTAAGTCTCTTTGTAGGTCACTCAGGACTTGCTTTATGAATCTGGGTGCTCCTGTATTGGGTGCCTATATATTTAGGATAGTTAGCTCTTCTTGTTGAATTGATCCCTTTCCCATTATGTAATGGCCTTCTTTGTCTCTTTTGATCTTTGTTGGTTTAAAGTCTGTTTTATCAGAGACTAGGATTGCAACCCCTGCCTTTTTTTGTTTTCCATCTGCTTGGTAGATCTTCCTCCATCCTTTTATTTTGAGCCTATGTGTGTCTCTGCACGTGAGATGGGTTTCCTGAATACAGCACACTGATGGGTCTTGATTCTTTATCCAATTTGCCAGTCTGTGTCTTTTAATTGGAGCATTTAGTCCATTTACCTTTAAAGTTAATATTGTTATGTGTGAATTTGATCCTGTCATTATGATATTAGCTGGTTATTTTGCTCGTTAGTTGATGCAGTTTCTTCCTAGCCTCGATGGTCTTTACAATTTGGCATGATTTTGCAGTGGCTGGTTCCGGTTGTTCCTTTCCATGTTTAGTGCTTCCTTCAGGAGCTCTTTTAGGGCATGCCTGGTGGTGACAAAATCTCTCAGCATTTGCTTGTCTGTAAAGTATTTTATTTCTCCTTCACTTATGAAGCTTAGTTTGGCTGGATATGAAATTCTGGGTTGAAAATTCTTGTCTTTAAGAATGTTGAATATTGGCCCCCACTCTCTTCTGGCTTGTAGAGTTTCTGCTGAGAGATCCGCTGTTAGTCTGATGGGCTTCCCTTTGTGGGTAACCCGACCTTTGTCTCTGGCTGCCCTTAACATTTTTTCCTTCATTTCAACTTTGGTGAATCTGACAATTATATGTCTTGGAGTTGCTCTTCTCGAGGAGTATCTTTATCGCGTTCTCTGTATTTCCTGAATCTGAATGTTGGCCTGCCTTGCTAGATTGGGGAAGTTCTCCTGGATAATATCCTGCAGAGTGTTTTCCAACTTGGTTCCATTCTCCCTGTCACTTTCAGGTACACCAATCAGACGTAGATTTGGTCTTTTCACATAGTCCCATATTTCTTGGAGGCTTTGTTCATTTCTTTTTATTCTTTTTTCTCTAAACTTCCCTTCTCGCTTCATTTCATTCATTTCATCTTCCATCACTGATACCCTTTCTTCCAGTTGGTCTCATCGGCTTCTGAGGCTTCTGCATTCTTCACGTAGTTCTCGAGCCTTGGCTTTCAGCTCCATCAGCTCCTTTAAGCACTTCTCTGTATTGGTTATTCTAGTTATACATTTGTCTAAATTTTTTTCAAAGTTTTCAACTTCTTTGTCTTTGTTTTGAATTTCCTCCTGTAGCTCAGAGTAGTTTGATCATCTGAAGCCTTCTTCTCTCAACTCGTCGAAGTCATTCTCCATCCAGCTTTATTCCATTGCTGGTGAGGAGCTGCATTCCTTTGGAGGAGAGGTGCTCTGCTTTTTAGAGTTTCCAGTTTTTCTGCTCCGATTTTTCCCCATCTTTGTGGTTTTATCTACTTTTGGTCTTTGATGATGGTGATGGACAGATGGGTTTTTGGTGTGGATGTCCTTTCTGTTTGTTAGTTTCCTTCTAACAGACAGTACCCTCAGCTGCAGGTCTGTTGGAGTTTGCTAGAGGTCCACTCCAGACCCTGTTTGCCTGGGTACCAGCAGCAGTGGCTGCAGAACAGCGGATTTTTGTGAACCGCGAATGCTGCTGTCTGATCGTTCCTCTGGAAGTTTTGTCTCAGAGGAGTACCCGGCCATGTGAGGTGTCAGTCTGCCCCTACTGGGGGGTGCCTCCCAGTTAGGCTGCTCGGGGGTCAGGGGTCAGGGACCCACTTGAGGAGGCAGTCTGCCCGTTCTCAGATCTCCAGCTGCATGCTAGGAGAACCACTGCTCTCTTCAAAGCTGTCAGACAAGGACATTTAAGTCTGCAGAGGTTACTGCTGTCTTTTTGTTTGTCTGTGCCCTGCCCCCAGAGGTGGTGCCTGCAGAGGCATGCAGGCTTCCTTGAGCTGTGGTGGGCTCCACCCAGTTCAAGCTTCCCGGCTGCTTTGTTTACCTAAGCAAGCCTGGGCAATGGCGGGCTCCCCTCCCCCAGCCTCGCTGCCACCTTGCAGTTTGATCTCAGACTGCTGTGCTAGCAATCAGCGAGACTCCGTGGGTGTAGGACCCTCCGAGCCAGGTGCGGGATATAATCTCCTGGTGCGCCGTTTTTTAAGCCTGTTGGAAAAGTGCAGTATTGGGGTGGGAGTGACCCTATTTTCCAGGTGCTGTCTGTCACCCCTTTCTTTGACTAGGAAAGGGAACTCCCTGACCCCTTGCACTTCCCGAGTGAGGCAATGCCTCGCCCTGCTTCGGCTCGCACACAGTGCGCTGCACCCACTGTCCTGCGCCCACTCTCTGGCACTCCCTAGTGAGTTGAACCTGGTACCTCAAATGGAAATGCAGAAATCACCTGTCTTCTGCATCGCTCACGCTGGGAGCTGTAGACCGGAGCTGTTCCTATTCGGTCATCTTGGCTCCCACCCTCACCTAATTGTCGATCACAAGTTAACTTTGACTGTGTAAAAAAAACTCATCATGTTTACTTTACCCCCTAATTTATATTTTTTATGTCATAATTTACATCTTGTCTTTTAACTTTCATACTAAGGATATAAATGATTTACATACCACCATTATAGTGTTAAAGTATTCTGAATTTGACTATGTACTTGCTTTTACAAGTGCCTTATACAGTTGATGCTTGAGTAACACAGTTTCGAACTGCATGGGATCCACTTATTTGTGGATTTTCTTCTGCCTCTGCCACCCCTGAGACAGCAAGACCAACCCCTCTTTATTCTCCTCTTCCTCAGCCTACTCAACATGAAGACAATGAAGATGAAGACCTCTATAATGATCCACTTCCACTTAATGAATAGTAAATGTATTTTCTCTTCCTTATGACTTTCTTTTCTCTAGCTTACTTTATTGTAAGAATACAAGATATAATACATATACAAAATATGTGTTAATTTTGTTTATGTTATTGATAAACCTTTTGGTCAACAGTAGGCTATTGGTAAATTCTGGGGGAGTCCAAAGTTATATGCAGATTTTCAACTGCATGGGGGGGTCAGTGCCCCAGCCCCTACATTGTTCAAATGTCAACTGCATATGTTTCCATGTTAATAATTAGCATCCTTTCTTTCAGCTTGAAAACCTCCCCTTAGCAATTCTTATAAGATGGGTCTGGGAGTAAAGAACACCTGAGCTTTTGTTTGTCTGGGAAAGTCTTTATCTCTCCTTAATTTCTAATGGACAGCTTTGCTGAGCAAAGTATAGTTCATTGTCAGTTTCTTTTCCTTGAGCACTTTGAATATATCATCCCACTGTCTTCTAGCCTATAAAGTTTCTGCTGAGAAGTCTGCTATTAGCCTTATTGAAACTCACATATGTGCTATGCTTCCTTTCTCTTGCTGCTTTCAGAATCCTGTCTTTGTTTTGTTTTTTAACAGTTTCATTATGATATGTTTTTGTATGTACTTGTTTAGATTGAATCTGACTGGAGACCTTTGGCTTTCCTGTACATGTGTATTTTTTGAGTTGGAGTCTCACTGTGTTGCCCAGATGGTCTTGACCTCCTTGGCTCAATTGATCCTTTTGAGTAGCTGGAATTACAGGTGTGCCCCACCACACCCAGCTCTGTACCTGGATAGTTACATATTTCCCTAGGCTTGGAAAGTTTTCTCCTATTATTTATTTAAATAAGCTTTATACCCCTTTACCTGTGATATCTGAATGGTGAGAGAGGGCATCCTTGTCTTGTGCTGGTTTTCAAAGGGAATGCTTCCAGCTTTTGCCCATTCAGCCTAATATTGGCTGTGGGTTTGTCATATATGGCTGTTATTATTTTGAGGTATGTTCCTTCAGTACCTAGTTTATTGAGAGTTTTTAACATGAAGAGATGTTGAATTTTATCAAAGGCCTTTTCTGCATCTGTTGAGATAATCATGTGATTTTTGTCTTTAGTTCTGTTTATGTGATGAATTAAATTTATTAATTTGTGTATTTTGAACTGACCTTGCATCCTGGGGATGAAGCCAACATGACCATGGTGGATAAGCTTTTTGATGTGCTGCTGGATTTGGCTTGCCAGTATCTTATTAAGGATTTTTGCGTTGACGTTCATTGGGGATATTGGCCTAAAGTTTTCTTTTTTTGTTTTGTCTCTGCCAGGTTTTGGTATCAGGATGGTGATGGCCTCATAAAACGAGTTAGGGAGGAGTCCCTTCTTTTCAATTGTTTGGAATAGATTCAATAGAAATGGCACCAGCTCGGCCGGGCGCGGTGGCTCACGCCTGTAATCCCAGCACTTTGGGAGGCCGAGGTGGGCGGATCACGAGGTCAGGAGATCGAGACCATCCCAGCTAAAACGGTGAAACCCCGTCTCTACTAAAAATACAAAAAATTAGCCGGGCGTAGTGGCGGGTGCCTGTAGTCCCAGCTACTTGGGAGGCTGAGGCAGGAGAATGGCGTGAACCCGGGAGGTGGAGCTTGCAGTGAGCCGAGATCCCGCCACTGCACTCCAGCCTGGGTGACAGAGCGAGACTCCGTCTCAAAAAAAAAAAAAAAAAAAGAAATGGCACCAGCTCTTCTTTGTACCTCTGGTAGGATTCAGCTGTAAATCTGTCTGGTCCTGAGCTTTTTTGGTTGCTAGGCTATTTGTTACTGCCTCAATTTTAGAACTTGTTATTGGTCTTTTTAGGGATTCAGTTTCCTCCTAATTTAGTCTTGGGAGGCTGTATGTGTCCAGGAATTTATCCATTTCTTCTAGATCTTCTAGTTTATGTGCATAGAGGTGTTTATAGTATTCTCTGATGGTTGTTTGTATTTCTGTGGGGTCAGTGGTGATATCTCCTTTATCATTTCTGATTGTGTCTATTTGGTTCTCTCTTTTCTTTATTAGTCTAGCTAGCAGTCTATCTATTTTTTTTTTTTTTTCAAAAAAAATCAGCTTCCAGATTCGTTGCTTTTTTGAAGAGTTTTTTTGTGTCTCTGTCTCCTTCAGTTCTTTTCTGATCTTGGTTATTTCTTGTCTTCTGCTAGCTTTGGGATTTGTTTGCTCTTGGTTCTCTAGTTCTTTTAGTTGTTATGCTAGGTTGTTGATTTGAGATCTTTCTAGCTTTTTGATGTGGGCATTTAGTACTATAAATTTCCCTCTTAACACTGCTTTAGCTGTGTCCCAGAGATTCTGGTACATTGTTTCTTTGTTCTCATTAGTTTCAAAAATAACTTCTTGATTTTTGCCTTAATTTCATTATTTACCTACGAATCATTCAGGAGCAGGTTGTCAATTTCCATGAAGTTGTGTGGCTTTGAGTGAGTTTCTTAAACTTGAGTTCTAATTTTATTATGCTGTAGTATGGGAGACTGTTTGTTATTATGTCAGTTATTTTGCATTTGCTGAGAAGTATTTTTCTTCTAATTATGTTTTCAATTTTAGAGTAGGTGCCATGTGGCAATGAGAAGAATATATATCCTGTCATTTTTGGGTAAAGAGTTCTGTAGATATCGATCAGGTCCACTTTATCCAAAGCTGAGTTCAGGTCCTGAATATCTTTGTTAATTTTCTGTCTTGATGATCGGTCTAATATTGTCAGTGGGATGTTAAAATCTCCCACTATTATTGTGTGGGAGTCTAAGTCTCTTTGAAGGTCTCTAAGAACTTGTTTTGTGAATTTGAGTGCTCCTGTATTGGTGTATGTATATTTAGGATAGTTAGCTCTTCTTGTTGAATTGAATGCTTTACCATATGTAATACCCTTCTTTGGCTTTTTTGATCTTTGTTGGTTTAAAGTCTGTTTTGTCAGAAACTAGGATTATGACCCTGGTTTTTTCTGTTTTCCATTTGCTTGGTAAAATTTCCCCCATCCTTTTATTTTGAGCCTATGTGTGTCTTTGCACATTAGATGGGTCTCTTGAAGACAGCATACCAATGGGGCTTGGCTCTTTATCCAGCTTGCCATTCTGTATCTTTTAATTGGGGCATTTAACCCATTTACATTTAAGATTAACATTGTTATGTGTGAATTTGATCCTGTCATCATGATGCTAGCTAGTTATTTTGCAGACTTGTTTGTGTGGTTGCTTAATAGTGTCATTGATCTGTGTACTTCAGTGTGCTTCTTTAGTGGCTGGTAACAGTTTTTCCTTTCCCTATGTAGTGCTTATTTCAAGAGCTCTTGCAAGGCAGGCCTGGTGGTGACGAATTCCCTTAACATTTGCTTGTCCTGAAAAGGATCTTATTTCTCCTTTGCTTATGAAGCTTAGTTTGGCTGGATATTAAATTCTGGGTTAGAAATTCTTTTCTTTAAGAATGTTGAATATTGGCCCCCAATCTCTTCTGGCTTATAGTGTTTCCACTGAGAGGTCCACTGTTAGCCTGGTGGACTTCCTTTGTAGATGACCTGGCCTTTCCTTCTGGCTGCTCTTAGCATTTTTTCTTTCATTTAAACCCTGGAGAATCTGATGATTATGTGTCTTGGGGTTGATCTTGTGGAGTATCTTACTGGGGTTCTCTGGACTTCCTGAATTTGAATGTTGGCCTGTCTTGCTAAGTTGGGGAAGTTCTCCTGGATGATATCCTGAAGCATGTTTTCTGACTTGTTTTCCTTCTCCTTGTCTCTTTCAGGTACCCTAATCAGTCATAGGTTCAGTCTTTTTACATAATCCCATATTTCTCAGAGATTTCATACATTCCTTTTCATTCTTTTTCTCTATTCTTGTCTGCCTGTCTTATTTCAGAAAGATAGTCTTCAAACTCTGAGATTCTTTCCTCTGCTTGATCTATTCTGCTGTTGATATTTGTGATTGCATTATGAAGTTCTTGTGTTGTGTTTTTTAGCTCTATCAGGTCAGCTATGTTTCTCTCTAAGCTGGATATTCTGGTTATCAGTTCCTGTATTGTTTTACCATGATTCTTAGCTTCTTTGTATTGGGTTGGAACATGCTTCTTTAGCCCAGTGAAGTTCATCATTACCCACCTTCTGAAGCCTACTTCTGTCATTTCAGCCTTCTCAGCCTCAGCCTAGTTCTGTGCCCTTGCTGGAGAGGTGTTGTGATCATTTGGAGAAGAGGCACTCTATCTTTTTGAGTTTTCAGTATTTTTGTGTTGATTCTTTCTCATCTTTGTGGGCTAATCTACATTCAGTCTTTGAGTTTGCTGACCTTTAAGTGGGATTATTGTGGGGTCTTCTTGTTGATGTTATTGTTGTTGTTGCTTTCTGTTTGTTTTTCTTTTAACAGTCAGGCCACTCTTCTGTAGGGCTGCTATGGTTTGCTGGGTGTGCACTCCAGACCCCAGTTGCCTTGGTCCCTCCTGCACCTAGAGGTATTACCAGTTAAGGCTGCAAAACAGCAAAGATGGCAGCCTGCTTCTTCCTCTAGGAGCTCCGTCCCAGGGGGGCACCAACCTAATGCCAGCCAGAATGCTCCTGTAGGAGGTGTCTGGAGACCCCTGTTGGGAGGTCTCACCCAGTCAGGAGGAATGGGATCAGGGACCTGCTTAAAGAAGCAGTCTGGCTGCCCCTTGGCAGAGCAGGTGTGCTGCACTGACTGCCTGGACTCTCCAGAGCCAGCAGGCTGTAAAGAATAAGTTGGCTGAACCACAAAGACAGTGGCTGCCCCTCCCGATGGGGACTCTATCCCAGGGAGAGATCAGAGTTCTGTACATATAGCCCTGGCTGGAGTTGCTAAAATTTCTGCAGGGAGGCACCACCCAGTGAGAAGGGATGGATCAGGGTCCCACTTAACAAAACTGACTGGCCACAGTCAGGTATAGCAGTTGTGTTGCATTGTGAGGAACTCCTCCCCATCCCTGGTGCCAGCAGGCTAGAACAGCTGACTCAAACCACAGAGATGGCGGCCACTCTTCCCCCTAGGAACTTGGTCCATCTCAGGCTATCTCCAGCCTGCTGCCACTGGCCAGCTGGAATTCCAAGCCAGTAGGTCTTAACTTGTGAGGTGCCATGGGAGTGGGGCCCGTGGGATAACGCCACTTGACTCTTTAGATTCAGCCCCATTCCTAGGGGAGTGCACGGACAGAATTCCTGTCTTGCTGGAATTCCTGAGTTGGAGTATGCAAAACTCCTGGGTCTTCCTGTGTGCCCAAGCACTCTGCTGAGGCTCCACCTGGCTCTGTGCTTCAGACCCAAGGCCCTGATGGTGTAAGCTCACAAGGGGATCTCCTGGTTCCTGGGTTTCAAAGATTAGTGGGAAAAGCATGGTTTCCCAGGCAGGGTCACACAATCACTCACTGCTTCCCTTGACTGAGGGTGTGGGTTCTGCTGGATCCATGCCACTCCTGGGTGGTTGTCACCCCACTGTTTTTCCTCACTATCTGTGGGGTTGAGCCGCCTGCCTAGTCAGTCCCAATGTGAAAACCTGGGTACCTCAGTTGAAAGTGCAGAATTCACTAGCCATTTTCATTGCTCTTTGTGAGAGCCATAGATGCAGCTGCTTCTAATTGGCCGCCTTTGCCCCATCCCCCTGACTGTATATTTTCAAGTAAACATTCTTTGAGTTCATATGTTCTTCCTTCTGCTTAGTCAGTTCTGCTGTTGATGCTATTGCATTTTTCATTTCATTCATCCTATTTTTTAGTGTCAGAATTTCCATTTGATTTTTAAAAAGTCATTTCAGTCTCTGTTAAATTTCTAACTTTGGTTATTTATTTTTCTGGTTCTTTTGAATTGTTTCTCTGGTTTTTTTTTTTTTTTTTGACATTTGCTGAGCTTCCTTAAAAAACAATTACTTTAAAATATTTTGTCAGATAGTTCATAAATCTCCATTTCTTTTTAAATTATTTATTTACTTATTTATTTATCTTTCTTTCCATTCCATAAGAAGCTGATTCCATTTATCTAGAGTCAGTTACTGGCGCTTTATTTTGTTTATTTGGTGTTGTCATTTTTCCCTAATTGCTTTTGATTCTCATGGCCATGCATTGGTATCTGTACATTTGAAGAAGAAAAGATATATTTCAATCTTTGCTGACTGGCTTTGTCTGAGAAAGCCCTTCATCCATCAGCCCATTTGGAGATTCTGGGTAGGCTACATGGCATGGTTGTTTGGGGAGTTCTTGGGCAGGCTGGCTTGGTGCCTGCTGAGGGTAGGTCTGGCACCTGGGTCCATAGGGTATGTCCTAGAGCCTGGGTCCATGGGGGCTGGCTCAATGCTGGGGTGAGTAGGGATGAGCCTAGACCCTGGGTCTGCT